>NC_000005.10:21519941-21822972 GCF_000001405.40 Homo sapiens
CTTAGGAATTCGATCTGGGCTCTATGGAGTGATAAAATTATGCAAAAAAAAATGAAGTATGTCATTTTTGCACAAAGCTCAGGATTTCTCAAAGGAATATTACATAAAATAATGAAGTCTCCTTTATCTCCAAGACAGTCCAGTCTTAGAACGCAATGGAACATGCCATTTGAAATAAAAAACAAATTTTCTTTTTGTTTTGTTTAGTTATGTTTGGTGCTATTTTAAGTATTTAACATTCATAAAGAGAGAATTAGCAATTAATGAGATAAAGTTTTAAAAAAATCTAGAGATCAGGACAAGGTAAAAAAAAATCATTCAGTCTTGCAAATCTGTTATTTAATAGGTCATGTTTTAAGAACTGGGAATACAGATACTGTGTGTATTTTAAATAGAAAATTTGAAATGTACAATAAGTCATTTTTAAATATAGTCACTCTGCTATAAAGTCAATCTCTAAAACTCAATCTTTGTGTCTAACTGAAACTGTACCCTGTGAACAACATCTCCCCATTCCCTATCCCTTGCCTCCAGCATTAACTAGCATTCTACTCTCTACTTTTAAGGGTTTGCCTTTTTTCGATTGCTAAAAAGTCCATTTTCAGTGTTCTCACAACAAAAAGATAAATATGTGACATAAGAGATGTGTTAAGCAGCTTGATTTAATCATTCCACAGTATAAATATATACGAAGACATCATACTGTACCCCTCAAAACAATTATTATTTATTTAAAACATTTAAAAACAAAAAATGAGACAAATATCAGGAAAGTAATTTTATACATAAGCTAGATAATTGCCTATAGCTGCGTATGCTGTGAAATAATTTCTGTTTGAAAAGACAGGAAAAATTATATGGCAAAACCATAGTGCAGTAATAAATTTGTCATGTTTAGTAAACAAAATATAGTTCAATGTGACTGAAGCATACTAAGAGGCAGAAGAATGTGGTGTACACTGTAGTGTAGAGGAGTGTCTTAGTTTGGGCTGCTATACAAAATACCATAGATTGAGTGGCTTACAAATAACAAAAAAAGTATTTCTTACTGTTCTAGGGGTTGGAAGTCCAAAGTCAGAGTGCCAGGATGTTCTGGTTTTGGGGAGGGCCCTTTTGCAGGCTGCAGACTGCTGGGTTTTTGTATAAGCACATGGGGAAAGAAGTGAGAGCTCTCTTAGGTCCCTTTTATAAGAACACTAAGCCTATTCATGAGGCCTCTACTATCACAACCTAATTACCTCCTGAAGGTCCCACATACTAATACCATTACATTGACAGTTAAGATTTCAATATACAGATTTTGAGGGTACACTTTAAAAATTCAGTCCGTAACATTCTGCCCCAGGTTCCCCAAAATTCATGTCTTCACATGCAAAATGCAGTCATTCCATTCCAACAAATCCACAAGTCTTAACTCATTCCAGCCTCAAGTCCAGTCTAAAGTCCAAGGTCTTATTTAAATATTACCTAAATCAGATGCAGGTGAGCTTCACGGTACAGTTCATTCTCACAAAATTTCTCTTCATCTGTGAACCTGTGGAATCAAACAATATGAATTTTCAAAATACAATGGTGAGACAGGCATAGGATAAACATTCCCATTCCAAAAAGAACCACTATTCGAAAAAAATAAAATATATGAATGCTGGATCCCAAGTAAATCTAAAACCTAACAGGGCAAACTCCATCAAACCCTAAGGTTCAAGAAGCATCCTCTTTGGCTTGATGACTCACCTTCCAGACAGTCCCCGACAGCTCAGTGAGGCACTCCTCGCTGCTGACTCTATGCACTGGACCCACTTATGGCACAGTCTTTTGTCAGGGCTGAGGTCACTCACCCAGGGCTTCACTGGATGGCCCTCCCACACAGCTCCTCTGAGCATCATTTCTGTCCTTTGAAATCAGAATGGAGGCAACCATGGCCCACCTTGCCATACCCTCTGGATTTTTGCTAAAAGTAGCAGCTGTAATTGTCTCCAAATCCCCTTTGAGCCCCCCTTCCTTAATTTTGAAGAAGAGAATAGCACACATCCACAACTGAATAGCTCTCTGCTCTCGGGTCCAGGCCTGTAGGGCTTAAGCATTCTGAATGTCTTCCTTTATTTCGTCCCATTATCTCTGTTTCCTTTAGTCCCAACTGGCAGTGTTTCTCCTGGTGTAATCCCATTTCTAGTCATGGTTTGTGTTGAGATGTTTGATTAAGCCTATGGTTCACACCCATATTAATCAAATCAGTAAGGGTCCGAAACACTCCTCATGTTCTCTTCAGAACACACTTTCTCGCTTTTTTTGCAATATGGACAGGCTGAGAATTTCCCAGATCTTAAATTATGGTTACTTTTTCCTTAACCATTCCATCTTCAAACCTTTTTCTTTTTCTACATTTGACTCTACAGATTCAGAAGGAACCAAGCTGCTGCTTCTACATGTTGCTGAGAAATCTGCTGGGTTAAATGTCCAATTTCACTGCACACAAGTTCCACCTTCCGCAAAACACAAGAGCATGAATACAATTCAAAAAAGTTTGTTTCCACTTTTCAACATGGATTGCTTTTGCTCCATTTTCCAATAACATATTCATTTCCATTTGAGACTCCAACAGAATGACCTTTACTGTCCATATTTTATCAATATTCTGTTCATGATTATTTAATTATTTTCTGAGAAGACAGCGTTTTCTTCTATATTTCTTTCCGAGCCCTCACGAGAATTGGCTTTTAAATTTTTTCCACAGTAATCTAGCATTTTGCATAAAACCTCATCAATCTCTGCCAATCACTGAGCCCAAAACCATTTTCACTTTGTTTTAGGTATTTATAATAACAGCACTCCCACTTCTCATGATCAATTTCCATCTTCAGCAGTTCAGGCTGCTTTAATAAAGTTCCATAACCTGAGTGGCTTTTAAATAACGGAATGCACATCTCACAGTTCTGGAGGCTGGAAGTCCAACAGCAGAGAGCCAGCATAATTGGGTTCTGGTGAGAGAGCTCTCTTGGGTTTCAGACTGCTGCCTTCTCAATGCAGCTTCACATGGTGGACAGAAAGAGCTCTCAAGAGTCATTTTTAAGGGACTATAGTTTACACTAATCTGTTGTATGTTTCAAAATAGCTAGAAGATATAGCTATAGTTTGTGTCTACCATAAGGCAAAGAAATTTATTTGAGATGATTGGCTACCCCAGTTATACTGATTTCATCTTTACAAATTATATCGTTGTATTAAATTACCACATATACTCTCAAAATATGTACATCTATTACTATATATTAATGAAATAAATTAAAAAGTTGAGAAATAATAGAAAACAAATCTTATGCTTCAAACATCTTTATTAAAAGATACAGTTGTTAATATTTTAAAAATTTTAGTTTATACAAATCTAAAATTTTATGCATTAGACATAGAACAGAAAATCAGTCAGGTTAATAAAATTTAATATAGAAATTTTTGCATATATATTGCTGCTTTAGCTTATGTAAACTTTATGATGGCCAACAAAAGAGCAAGATGGATCAGACACATCAGATTTAATTGTTTTAACTGAAAGTGACAAATATTACTTTCACTCACGGTCCATTAGCCAAACCTAGTCACATGGCCAACATCACTGCAAGGAAAACTACAGGGTCAAAATCCCTTGGTCCACCAACGAGAGTAGAAGAGCTGAGTCTTTCTGAGAGACAAATGAGATAACATATTGAAACACTTAGTAATATCTGTTTTTATCTCATTATTACTGTTAATTGCACTTGTTTTAGGTGTGTCTCTCTCAGTTCTTTTTACTGTTAGTATATCTGGAGTTAGAACGTGTTGATTCTACAATATCCTAGTCATTTAAATAAAAATGGTTGGGAAGAAAAACTATGGCATTATTTCAATTTTGTTCTTCTTTAGTAAGAAAGATCCCTTCTAACTCTACTCCCACATCTACAATATCTGAAATACAGACTTTCTGTGGACTACCTGCCATGATATGTGTACTATCAATATGTTCACTTTCAGATGCAGCAAAAATAAAGTTAGGTAAGTTCCAAAAGCTGAGAGCTCCCTTCATTGGTAACAAATTAGCACCTATGGACATTTTGCATACATATATACTACTACATTCTGCACAAGAAATTGTGCTTGTTATAAAGGCAGGACTATCCTCAAGGAAACCTTGAGTTATCCACAGTTAATTCAGAATAAATATCAATGGATTGCAAAGTCCTCTGCTAAGGCTCTGAATTTGCACCTTTAAAGAAATCAGCCTTTCACATTTATTAGAGGTACGAACTGTTAATATACTTAATTTTTGCCTTTTATTAAATCAAGATTCTAATAGACAATAGGTTATAAAATGCTGCATACTGATGAAAAAAAATTCAAGCCAAAAACTACTAGCAAATTCTGCTAATAAACATTTTAGATAAAATATAGTTACATTTTTGTTTTGAGCTCATCTGAATCAATTGTGTTAGAGTTCTGATTACTAGTTTTTCTCATTGCTATTTCATAATAAAAAGGCTATGCAAATGAGGTTCATTAATTATTAACTACAGTTTTAAATCATTTACTTATTTACATCTGCAACATTCTTCTACAGATTTCAATAAATTTTTGAGTGTTTTTATAACCAGAATGGTCTTGAGGGGATTCCCATAGAATTATAGATAATTTGATAAAGCAATATAAACATCATAAAATTATTCCTATTGTCATTTAATTTTGAAATACATAACATAATACAAATTGAGCAACATATCTAGTTAATGTCAAAATCATATGTCTCAAAAGCACACTATACTTTAAATTACCATGTAATTATATATCAAATTACTCATTAAAAATAGCATTACCTACCTTCCAAAATGAATTCTTTTAAATTATTTTTAATTCAACAGCAAAAATTTAAATGGAAGTAGGAGCTTGATTGCATATTATATTTTTGGATTACATCACAAATAAAAATATACTTTATGAAAATTTCTCTATTCATTGTTTAATTGCAATATATCTTAGCTGAGTTACATTTATTAAATGCAGACAGTTAACTATTAAACATTAAAACAATTTAGAACAATATTAAAGCAATAAGGCTAATTTTCCTCTCTTTCCTGTCAGGTGAAGACAATATTCCAGCACTAGAAATAATAAGGATGTATACTATACACACACACACACACACACACACACACACACACACACACACACATATATATATAAAACATATGGCAATTAGTCTTAAAATCATACTTCAAGTTATTTATTAGTAATGATTACACATAATTATTTTTGAAATGTGTTGGTTCCATGTGTTTCTTCTGTGTTCTATAAATGCAATGTAAAACTCTCACTGAGATAAAAATCCCATAATCTTCTCTTTTCAAAAATTATTATAAACTATTAGTATAATATGTGCATATACTAACATATGCATACTCCCTCAGCTGTAAACATACTTCAGTTATTTATGACTTTGGACTGCAAAAGGGACAATCATAAATATAACATATATATTACATAATTTTTTTCTAATATTAGTTACCCTTTTATTATTTAGACAGTATCAATGATGAGACTTTACTAAAACACCTAAGGAATAATTTCTATAATTATATATTTGTATAAATATCAATAAATATCTCAACTTCTTTGGATGTGTTTCTTGATTTTTTTCTGTCAAATAAATATAAAATGTCACCATGAAATAAGTGCCCCCAAATGGTAATAATCATGTATTGCTGAACTAAATTGTTGAATGCCACACAATTAGTGTTACTATATAAAGCAGTTAGAAAATATCTAACACTTTCTATGTAAACTATTAGATATTTTAAATTTAAGTACCTTATTATGTTAGCATATGCCCTTCCCATGTGGGGGATAATGAATAAATAGGAAGATTACACTTTTCCAATATCAGTATTGCTCACAGCAAATCACTTTTTCATTCAATCAGAGTCACTGCTGTCAATGAACTGCATTTAATTCGCAAGGGTAACTATTGCATTTGGCTTGCATTAAATTATTTTATGTTGCTGATTTTAGCTCATCATTTTTCTTAGATGATAAACTCCCTGATGACAATTACTGTGTGCTCACTATATTACCTCAAATGGGAGAAGTATATGAGACATTAGTCTTCATTGAATGGCGCTCATAAAGAAATCTAAACCCTGACTCAAGGGGTGGAGAATTAATACTTTGACATAGTTAATTGGGTAATTGCCTTAATTACTGAGGCCCATGAACAAAATGAATAATGTGAGTTTATTCACATTTTACATTTAGTAAGAAAAACTTCTTAACTATCAACTGAAATTACCTTCAGTGTCCTTTTCTGGTGATAAGAAACATAGTGAACTTAATCTAATTTTCTCAAGTCATTATTTACAGAGAGGAAAAAATTCTAACCAAAGAGTGTATTAAAAGTGGACCAGAATCCTCCTGAGCCTAATAGATATGAATGCCTATAGTTACCTTGTTAAAATGAAGGAATTTTAAAGAAAATAGTCCATTTGCTTGAGAAACAGTAATATTTTATTTTTATTATTTATTGCTTGACTATTCATTGAACATTCAAATCCCTAGAAAGAAAAATATATTTAGGCACCAACAATAAAAGTATCATTGCCAAATTAAATTTTCAAATACAAGGCAAGCAACTCTGTATCTCATCCATTGATTTCCATCTGTCTCTTGTTTCATTTATTTCCTCGGGGTTAATTATTCTTTATAGACTTACAATCATTAATACATATCCATACTTGTTATATGTTAGTTGAAAAATAAGGTAAATGGTTATTATTGTTAATAATAAATGACAATGTAGACTAAGGTGCTATATCTATTTATATGTAAGGTAGTTCAAAACCGTAAATCTATCAGATAGTTCCTCTATTAATGAACAAACAAGTTTATTTTCTCAATATTTCCAATTTGGTAAAGTTACCTTATAAATGTGATAAGTGAGCTTTATTTTTTATAAAGATATTCTTTTATATTCATAGAAAATATATTAGGTAATGTCCGAAGACCTTATCCCAAAATCTAAAAATTTTCTTAAATTACCAAAATTAACTAAAATAAGCCATAAAGTGTTACCATCTATTGCCAGTTTTTCAAGTCAACTTTAAATAAACATATTTAGAATAACTTTTAAATGTTTATTACTCAAAACATAGTCTAGATAGAACATTAAATCTCCACATTTTAGAGTATTGTAAACATATCAGAAAGTACAGTAAATATTTTATCAATAACCTACACCAAATTTGACACCAAATAATTGACATCAATGTCTTCTTTAGTATTGCTATTTTTTTCTATACTGAAGTCTTTCATATCTGGGGTACATTTCTTTAAGGCCAAATTTATTCGTTTAGTTTTGTGTTTTGGTAGATTAGCAAGGTTGTTTAATATATTGTTATTATTACCAACATTTTCTTATATTTATCCTAGTCATATAAAACAATTTCAGATAACACTTTATTGAAAAATATTTTACTATGTAAATAAGAAATGTTTGCACAACTGTAAACAAAAAAATGGTCATTAACAGCATATATTCTCTCCATCAGTGAGGCTAAAATAATCTTTGGTCTTTTCCCATCATTTCATATACAGTAAGAGCACATCTTGTGTTACGTATTAGTTAACTGACTTAAACTGTGATTACTGGGTGTGATGATTAGTAGTATATGTCAGGTTGACTTGGCTAAGGGATGCCAAGATAGCTGAAAAAACATTATTTTTGTATGTGTCTATGACGGTTTCAAATGTTAGACTGAATAAAGATGTGAGTGGGCATCATTCAACCTGTTGAGAGCCTGAATAGAACAAAATAGTAGAAAAAGGGTGAATTCACTCTCTCTGTTTGTCCTCAGATGTCAGAGCTTCTGGTTCTTGGGGCTTTGAACTTGGACTGGATCATACCATCAGCTTTCTGTTTCTCTAGCCTGCAGTTGGCAGATTGTTGAACTTCTTGGCCTTAACTATGAGCCAAGGGCTATAATCTCTGTTTCTGTTTCAATATCAATATCCCATTGATTGTGTTTCCATAGGGAACTCTGACTAATACACTGGGTTTATTTTTTCATGGAAATGTTAATAACATACTTGTACAGACTGAGCAGAAGATGTAGCATGCTGGAGTCTGGTTTACTCAAAGCAGATACTAAGAAGAAAATTCCGAAAATTCCAATAGCAATATAAGAAAATGGCCGGGCGCGGTGGCTCACGCCTGTAATCCCAGCTCTTTGGGAGGCTGAGGCGGGTGGATCACGAGGTCAGCAGATCAAGACCATCCTGGCTAACACGGTGAAACCCCGTCTCTACTAAAAATACAAAAAAATTAGCCGGGCGCGGTGGCGGGTGCCTGTAGTCCCAGCTACTCGGGAGGCTGAGGCAGGAGAATGGCGTGAACCCGGGAGGCGGAGCTTGCAGTGAGCCGAGATCGTGCCACTGCACTCCAGCCTGGGCGACAGAGTGAGACCCTGTCCCAAAAATAAATAAATAAATAAATAAAATAAAAAAGAATATAAGAAAATACTTTTGGACATTGATTAGAAGCATAATAGAAAAATAGAGACAGGAGACATGAAAAGTTAACATTGTTTTAAAAATTATTTAAAAATGGAATATTTTAGGAACTAGTATTAAAATTATACTTTATACTTCATTTTGTTATTAAAATACTGTATGTGGTTAAATGTATAAACACATTTAAATATAACAAAGTTCCTAAATTCTATGTGTAATTCCATACCATTATGAGTGGACTATAAGTAGTGTTTATTTTGTCTTCCTTCTTATTTCTGTAAATCACAGTGTCTGTGTGAAAAAATCAGCTACTTACTCATTGTTCTTGAAGAAATTGTAAGAATTACCATAAATCTATGTGTTGATATTAGATTACAAGTTAAATGTTCTGGTCATGTAATTTGGCATGTTTATTCATAGAGCTCTTAGGGGATGGATCTTCCTAAACTTGTGGTTTCATGCCCCATTATCTTTTCTGGTGGCTGTTTGGGGAAAAGAGACTTAAAATGCATGAGTTAGCACCCTCTTCTCTTCTCTTTTGAAATCTGTTAGCTGCTAAGAGAATATGTTCTAGTTTGCTCTTGGCCATGCACTCTCTTAGTGGCATTGGCTCTGTCTACACTTTGAGTAATATTGATTTGGCCTTTAATTTGCAAAAACTAAGCCATATTCTCCAATATTAATTTTATCGGTGAAATTACCTTTTTTGTCTATTAGTGTGACTCTTACATCTGTGACTCAGGCATACGGTATTATTATCCAGCCCTTAAAAAAGGACCCAAAAGCTTAGAGCCTTGGCTTCTTTTGTGTCTTTAAGTTGAGCAGTTTGCCTTAGATATCTCTTGCCTTAGCTCTCATCTTCTTGGGTCTTTCCTTAAACGTCATTTTTTTTTTTTTCAGTGTAGTCTTAGCCACTTTACTTAAACTCTGGAGTCTCCAACCTCATACCAGACATTTCTATTTCCTTCCTCTGACTTTATTAGTGCAGTTATTGTCATCAATTGTATTCTATTTTTTATTGTTTGAACCATTTATTCTCTGTTTACTTCACTGGAATTCAAGTTCCATGGAGGCAAACACGTTTGTTGACATGACTGATAGCATGTAGAACAGCAGTCCCTGGCACAGAGTAGATATTCAGTGAACATGTGAACTTTGTTATTAAGAAAATCACTCAAACCGAAACGTATAAAGTGGACGCAATGTAGAGAATAAGTGTGTTTTTGCAAAGGAAAAAGATTTTGAAAAAGTCAATATTTTGAGAAATAGCCTCTCAGAGTTTCTATTCCTACATTGATCATGAACGAAACTGAAGCAAAATAGTAATAAAATTAGTAACTTATTATTAAAATAATTTAAAATACAACATTCATAAACCTGTGTGTGCATCTAACAGTATCAAAATAAATCAGAACTTTTTGGAACTGTTAGAAAGCATCCATACTCACAGTAAAAAATTATGATCTGATAGGCCAAGAATACATTGGTAATGAATAAGGAATATCTAAAAAAAAATGCATTAATAAGCTTAATTAAATGGGTATATAAACAAACTGTCACACAACAAAGATAAAAAATATATACTATTTAATAAAGTAATTCTTTTAAATTTTAAAAAATACAAACATTCTCATTTAATTCTGAAAGTAAATATCATATAAATCATTCTGTAAGAAATAAAATTAATTAGTAAATCTATAAATTAACTTTTTTCAGATAGTGATAGAATCATTTTTATATCCCTTCAATCATCAATATAATGGACTAAATACACAGACTTATTAAAAATTTATTATTATTATTTTGAGATGGAGTCTCACTCTGTCACCCAGGCTTGAGTGCCGTGGCACAATCTTGGCTCTCTGCAACCTCCGCCTCCTGGGTTCAAGCTATTCTCCTGCCTCAGCCTCCCGAGTAGCTAGGACTACAGGCACAAGCCACCACGTCTGGCTAATTTTTGTATTCTTACTAACAAGGAGGTTTTACCAGGTTGGCCAGGCTGGTCTCGAACTCCTGACCTCAGGTGATCCGCCTGCCTCAGCCTCCCAACGTGCTGGGATTACAGGGGTGAGCCACCGCGCCCGGCCCACATTATTTTTATACAATATAAAGACAAACTAGAGCACATTATTGAATATATTTCATGTGTCATTGCTTTATTTCAGGAATTAAGTCTGAACAATAATACTGTGAGGTGTAGTGCCAATTTTATTGCCTCATTTAGAACACCTGCTGTATTTCAGAGACTTAAGAACTGAAAAAAAAAGCATATTTAGTTTCATCTTTAGTAATAATATTCTACTAGTATATTTTATTAATAAAATAAATTTTACTTCACTTAAATGAAAAGATAATATGTACCTCGTTAGAATTTATCTTCAAAAAATACACTAAATCTCAGATTTATTTCAAACATCTGTAGAGAACTAAAGATCACAATTCCTTGATATTTCATAGACTCACATAATAGTTAAGTGAAAGGATAGATTTTTAGCACAATCCCTTTTGAATATGTGAAGAAATGAAGATTGAATTTTTGCCCCTGGCTTTATTCCTGATCATCAGGTCAATCCCCTTTTCTTCAAAATAAATAGTTTCTTTCACTCTGGAGCTTGTGAAAACATGTGAATTCTTAATTTCTCCTAAATATATGTTAAATATAGTGTTGTTTATTTTGAAGTGATTTTAGTGTTTCTAAATATAGATGCCCTTCAGTTCTTTAAATATTATAAAAAATAATAAATTTTCAACACAAAGACTATCAAATAATTTAGCCAAGTTATTTTTATAAGTCAAGTAGAAGTCACTAAGAGGTTACCAAAAGTAATCTCAGGAGTACAGACCAGTTACCATCAGTAAGGGAAACAGTGTGTGTAAGCTAGACTCCAATAAATCACCATGTAATGCCAGCTGTCTTTACTTTTGAAACTTTTTTTTTTCCTTTCTAACAGGTTCTACTACATCATAGATGCAAGGTCTGGGAGTCTTTAGATAGGAAACTAGAGTCAATAAAATTGATCATTTTCACCCATGCAATCTTTCAATCCACAAAGGGAGGAAAATATTTTGTTTTCTTTTTAGTTCTATTTGTATGAACACCCAATTGCTCTTCTCTGCTTTTCCCAATGAAGTTATCTTATAGTAACAGCAAATTCTACAAGATTTGAACTTCAATAGTCTTACAAAAATGAGAAAATACCTACCATCCAGTTAGCAACAAAATTCGTTATTTATTACTATTTATTTCAAACTCTACAACTCAACAACAGATTCCTGTTGTTGACTCATGAGGATTTTTCTGGACTGCTAAGGTGAACCTTAGAAACAGAAGGCCTGCATGACTTCAAGGAACATTTTATACATAAAATAATATTAAACTACAGAATTTATTTTGTCAACATACATTTAGTTATATACACAATGTGTGTTTATTAATAAATTTATTGAATGAATCAATAATTTAAAAACATTGACGTGTTAACAAATGAAGTAAAGTATTTTTTATCAATTTATATCAGTAATCTTTTATATATATTTAAAGGTTTTACAGAATTTGGTTGTTTTCAAGGTTAATAGTTCTGAAGATATATGTTTCTAGGTTTTAAATGTGCCCCCACCGTGAAAATCACGTGTTGGAAACTTAATCCCCAATGCAAATCCCAAGTTTTGGGAGATGGGGCCTAATAAAAGGTTATTGGGTCATGAGTGCTCTGTCCTCATGAATGGATTAATGAATAATAGTTCATTAGATTAATGAATAATGAATAATAGTTACTGCAGGAATAGGTCAGTTATCACAAAAGCACATTGTTATAAGAGAGAGCCTGGGCCAGGTGCGATGGCTCAAGCCTGTAATCCCAGCACTTTGGGAGACCAAGGCAGGCAGATCACCTGAGGTCAGGAATTCGAGACCAGCCTGCCCAACATGGTGAAACCCCGTCTCTACTAAAAAAAAAAAAAAAAAAATGCAAAATTTGCCGGGCGTGGTGGCGCATGACTGTAATCCCAGCTCCTCAGGAGGTTGAGACAGGAGAATCATTTAAACTCAGGAGGCGGACGTGGCAGTGAGCCGTAATCACGCCATTGCACTCCAGCCTGGGCAACAAGAGCGAAACTCCTTCTCAACAACAACAACAAAAAAAGAAAGAGAGAGAGAGGGAGCCTCTCCTCTCTTGCTTTCTCTGTCAATTGAGCTTGTTTCTGCCTTCTCTTTCACCTTTCACTGTGGCACGAAGTTCACACCAGATGCCAGCACCATGCTCTTTGACAGCCTCCAGAACTGTGAGCCAAATAACCTTCTATTGTTTACAGTGCTACACAGTTTGTGGTATTCTGTTATAGCAGCAGAAAATAAACTAAGATATGTGTCTTCAGAGGCATAAGAGAGAAATAACCTTTTTTTTTTTTTTTTTTTTTTTTGTATTCTGTCTTCTCTGACCAGGTTTGAGGTGAACTAATTGAAACTGATAGGCTTCAAACTACAGTTCCATTGGTAGTAATGAAAGTTGGGTCGTACGAAAGCAAGAAAAACAAACAAACATATGTTTTCCTTTTTTAGAGGAACCAATTGTGTGCCTGCAACAGAAACCTTTCCAACTGATTTTCCCTCATTCTACTTCTTCTAAAATTTGTAATACTTAATATATAGTGATACATGATACATCTACACATAATCTTACTGGTCAAAAGTTGTTTCTTACTTTAGATATTATAACATAATAATATTGAATGTTAATAGCTAATAGCAAATTTGACCCTTCCGTATTGAACCATAAAGAAGAAAATCAATATATATATTGATATATAAATACACATGTGTACATGTATGTATACACATATACACACAACATATTTATACATATATATTTATATATAAGCACAGAAATGATCACTAAGGAGTCTGTCATACCTGAGATATATGGAGATCCCTGGGAACAAAGAAGTGTGTAAGCTGACAGCCTCAGTCACACAGTGGTTGCCACCACAGTCCCTAGAACTCACCTTTGCAGAAGACACTGCCTGCTTTCATCACTGAGACAACCATCTCCATCATAGAGTCCCCTGAGAAGGAAACAGTGCTGTGTTCTCTCCACTGAAAAAAGAACTGCTGTCGTGGCAACTCAGGGGCAGAAACTAATACCCCTCTCAACCCTGCATGCACCCCAGTCCCAGGGCTATATTCACCCTGTGGGAGCCCACACCCCAGACACTTGTCCGTAGATGTTCTGTGCTTGCCTACATTCAAAACCACAGGTCTGTGGCCACATTGCATGAACTCATACTTCAAACAAAGAAGCCACCACTGATAGGGCTAACACTTTCCCAGGCCTTGGGACCCCAGTTGCTCTGTGCACCCACACTATGGAGAGCAGTTTTACAACCTTTCTGTGAGTGTCTGCGCTGCTAACAATTGAGCTATCATCACAAGAAGCTAGTCCCTGGAGCCACCGTAGCTCCTCATGTGCCTGCACTGCATATATTGGCTCTGGAGATGGACTGTGAGCACCATACCTCAGATGCCAGAGTCATTGCTGCTATGGGCTAGTTCATCTCCCTGGCTTCAAGTCACTGTAACTCAGCGCATGCTCACACTTTCGATTCTGGCTTCCCAGATGCTCCACAAGCACTTGTGCTTCACACATTGTTACCAGTGTCACAGCAGGTGTGTCTGTCACAAACACTGGTGTCACCACCACCCTGGACCTAGAAACTTGGTCTCTTCAGGCCTTTTAGGTCCCTTCAGACCTGTGCTTCAGGCCTCAGGTCTGTGGCCACTCCAAGGACGTTGTGCATTAGACACTGTTGCCAGTGTTCCTGGGAACACAACCACAAGCTAGACCCAACGCGAAGAGACTCCTTTAGCCATGACTTCCCAATGGAAGAAAAAAAGACTATAAAAGCCTTTGTTATTGGTGCAGATAGCCACAGCCTTGGCTGTTAAAGATCCCTGGGGTTTTTGCTGACACCAACATCAGCTGATAAGCTTCACAGAGACTATGACCACTGCATTCTCATCAGAGCCAGAACATCTGCACCCATCCTAGACAGTGCCATCACTTATACCTGTAGGGAAGGACTTTCCAGTGTAAAATCAATCCATAAAGTTGGCAAGGGGTGAAATGTACATACATTAATGAAAGGTAACAAGAACTATAGAAGACCAAGGAATCAACACCACAAAAAGAACACAATAATTTTCCTGTGATTTACACCAAAGAAATTAAGATATGTGAATTGTCAGACAAATAATTCAAAATAATTGTTTTAAGGAGTTCAGCACACTTCAAGTCAACACAAACTGACAATTAAACAACATCCAGAAAATGTTTAACAGAGAGATTGGCATTATACAAAAAGAACCAAACAGTAATTATGAAGCTGAAGAATACAATGAATAAAATGAAAAAGAGTCAGTCAGCAGCAGAATTGATCGAGTGGGCGAAAGAACCTGTTAACTTAAAGACAATTACTTAAAAGTACACAGTCAGAGGGAAAAAAGGAATGGAAAGAAGTGAAGAAAGCCTATGAGATTTATGGGACAGCAAGAGAGCTACCATTTACATTATAGAATTTTAAAAAGAAGGAGAGAATAGATGGAATGGATGGAATGTATATTTAAGGAGATATTGACTTAAAGCATTTCATGTCTGCAAAAAGATATAAATACCTAGCCAGAGGAGGTTTAAATGTCTCAATCATGTACAATCCAAAGAATGCTATACCAAGACATATTACAGTCAAACTATCAAAAATCAAAGACAAAGAAATAATATTGAAAGCAGCAAGAGAAAAACAGTTATTCACATATAAGAGATCCTCTATAAGGCAACCAGTGGATTTATCAGCAGAAACTTTGCAGGCCAGAAAACAGTGGGATTATCTAATTGAAGTGATGAAAGGGAACAAGAATGTGGTTATTTTGCCAAGAAAGAATACTTTAACTCACAAAGATGTCCTTCTGAAATGAAGGAGAAAAAAAGTCTTTCCCAGACAAATAAAGCTGAGGAAGGTCATCATCACTGGATATGCCTTTCAAGAAATGCTAATGGGACTTTTTCAAGGTGAAAAAAAATGGATGATAATTAGTAACATGAAAGTACAATACTCACTAGTAAGTACAACAAAAGACATACAGTGACTGAATGGATGTATAAAAATAAAAAAAAAAAAGACCCAAATATATACTGCTTACAAAAGTCTCACTTTACCCATAAGGAACACATAGACTGGAAATGAAGGGATGGAAAAAGATATTTCATGCAAATGGAAGCCAAAATATTGTAGGGGAAGTTATTTATATCTGACAATGTAGACTTTAGATCAAAAACTGTAAAGAAACAAGGAAAATAATTATGTAAAAATAAAGGGGTTAATTCATGAACAGGATATAACAAATGTAAATATATATGCACCCAATATTGGAGCAGCTAAATATATAAAACAAATATTAACAGATACAATGGGAGAGAGAAGTGAAATACAATTATAGTAGGAATTTTCGTACGCATTTTAAAGAGCGATAGATCATCCAGACAGAAAATCAATAAGAAAATAGTGGACTCAAATTACACTTTAGAACAAATAGACCTAACAGACATATACACAACATTCTATCCAACAGCAGTAGAATACACATTCTTCTCAAGTATAATGGAATATTCTCCAGGATAGATTGAATATTAGACTACAAAATCAGTCAACAAATTTAAGAAGATTGAAATCATATCAAGTATTTTTTCTGACACAGAGGTATGAAAGTAGAAATAAACAAAAGGATATAATTTTATAAAATTTACAAATATGTGGAAATTAAACTATAAACTCCTGAACAACCAGTAGGTCAAAGAAGAAAGTAAAAGAAAAATTTTAAAGTATCTTGAGGTCAACAAAAAAGGAAATGAACATACTGAAACATAGGATGCAGCAAAAGCCATTCTAAAGGGGAGGTTTATAACAATAAGCTGGCTGCAGTGGCTCACACCTGTAATCCCATTACTTTGGGAAGCCATGACAGGCAGATAGCCTGAGGTCAGGAGTTCAAGACCAGCCTTGCCAACATGACAAAACACCATCTCTACTAAAAATACAAAAATTAGCCGGGCACGGTGGTGAGCACCTGTAGTCCCAGCTACTGGGGAGGCTGAGGCAGGAGAATCGCTTGAACCTCAGAGGCGGAGGTTGCAGTAAGCTGAGATTGCGCCTCTGTACTCCAGCCTGGGTGGCCAAGTGAGACTCCATCTCAAAATAAATAAATAAATACATACCCAATAAATTAAATGCTTACATTAAAAAAGTAGAGAGCTCTCAAATAACCTGATGGTACAATTCAAGAAACTAGAAAAGGAAGAACAAAGTAAACCCAGAGTTAGTAGAAGGAAAAAAATAACAATTATCAGTGCAAAAGTAAGTGAAACACAGACTGGAAAGATAATAAAATTAAAAGTTTATTTTTTGAAAAAATAAACAATACTGAAAAACCCTTAGCTAGACTACTAAGAAATAAAAAGAGAAGACCCAAAGAAATAAAATCAGAAATCAAAAAGATGACACTACAATTGATACCACAGAAATATAAAGAACCATAAAAGTCTTGTATGAACCATTATATACCAACAAATTGGATAATATAGAAGAAAGGCATAAAGTTGTAGAAAGATATAACTTACCAAGACTGAATCATTAAGAAATAAAAAAGATGAACAGAGCAATAACAAGTAACTAGGCTAAGTCAGCAATAAAAATCTTCCATCAAAGTAAATTCTAGGACCCTGATGCCTTCATTACTGAATTCTATGAAACAATTAAGAATTAATATCAGTCCTTCTCAAACTCATCCAAAAAATTGAATAGGAGGGAACACTTTCTAACTCATCTTGTGAGACCAGAATTTCCCTAATATGAAAGCCAGACAAGGACATTGCAAGAAAAAAATCAACTATTACAGGCCAATCAATATCCCTGATGAACATAGTTCTAAAACTTGCCCACAAAATACTAACAAACTGAATTCAAAAACACGTTAAAACATCTTTCAACATCAAGTAGGATTTATCACTAGAATGCAAGGATGTTCCCATTTATGTAAATCAGTAAATGTGATACATCACATTAAGAGAACAAAGAACAAAACCAAAATGATCATCTTACTACATGCAGAAAAAGCATTTGACAACATTTAGCGTTTTTTCATGATAAGAAACTCTCAGCAAATTAGGTGTAGAAGTAATCTATCTCAACATAATAAAGGCCGTATATTATAAACCCAAAGTTAACATCACACTCAAAGGTGAAAAGTTGAAATCTTTTTCTAAGATTAGAAACTAGACAAGAGTACTCGCTCACGCCACTTCTATTCAGCGTATTACTGAATGTCCTAGCCAGAGCAATCAAGCAAGAAAAGGAAATAAAGGGCATCCAGGTTGGAAAGGAAGCAGTTAAATTGTCCTTGTTTGCAGATAACATGATCTTATACAGAAAACCCTAAAGACACCACCAAAAAAACTGTTAGAACTAATAAATTCAGTAAAGGTAGAGGATATAAAATTGACATAAAAGTTTCAGTAGTGTTTCTGTACACTAACAACAAACTATCTGAAAAAGATATCAAAAAAGCAATCCCATTTACAGTAGTATTTAAAAAATCTTAGGAAAAAATTTTAACCAAGGAGGTGAAAGATCTATACACTGAAAACTATAAAACACTGATAGAAGAAAATGAAGAAAACACAAATAAATGGAAAGAGATCTCATGTTCATGAGTTGGAAAATTAATATTGTTAAAATGCCATAAATACTCAAAGTAATCTGCAGAGTCAATGTAATCCTTATTAAAATTCAGTTTTTTCACAGAAATAGAAAAAACCTAAATTCTAAAATTGTATGAAACCATAAACACTCTAAATAGGGAAATCACTGTTGAATAAATAGAAAAAAGCTAAAGACATCATACTACCTGATCTCAAAATTTACTACAAAATTATAAAAATGTAAGCAACATTCTACTGACAAAATGCAGTTATATAGACCAATATGAGAGGAGAAGCCTCTTAAATAAATCCACTTATTTATGGTAAGTGGATTTATTTGATAAAGTTACCAAAAATCTACAGTAGGGAAAGGACAGTCCTTTATCTCCACCATTTACAAAAATCAACCCCAAATGGACAAGACTTAAACCTAAGACCTGAAACTATGAAATCACTAATGGAATACAGGAAGACTTCCAGAACATTGGTCTGAGTAATATTTTGGGGGGAGGCATGACCCAAAAATCACAGGTAACAAAAGCAAAAATAGTCCAATGGAATTAAATAAAACTTAAAACTCAAAAGCTCTGTACAGCAAAGGAAACAGCAGAGTGAAGAGACAATCTAGGGAACTGAAGAATGTATTTGCAAATCACACTCTAATAGCAAATAAAACTCCCAAATGCCCTGATTAAAAAATAGGCAAAGAATCAGAATAGATATTTCTCAAAAGAAGACCCACAGATGGCCAACAGATATATAAAAATATATTTAACATCATTATTTATCAGAGAAATGCAAATTAAAACCACAAAGAGATATCACCTCACACCTGTTAGAATGGCTATTATCAAAAAGATGAAAGAAAACAAGTATTGATGTAGAAGTGAAGAAAAGAGAAACCTTGTATACTGTTCTTGGGATTGCAAATTAGTACAGCATTTATGGAAAGCAGTATAAAGCTTCTTCAAGACATTAAAACTGGAACTACAATATGATCCAGAAATCCTACTGCTGAGTATATGTTCAAAGGAAAATAAATCCATTTGCTGAAGAAATATCTTCATTTCCATGTTCATTGCAGCATTATTCACAATAGCCAATTTATAAAATCAACCTGTGTCCAT
This sequence comes from Homo sapiens, assembly GCF_000001405.40. Classification (NCBI taxonomy): domain Eukaryota; kingdom Metazoa; phylum Chordata; class Mammalia; order Primates; family Hominidae; genus Homo; species Homo sapiens. The sequence continues at coordinate 21,539,341 of NC_000005.10, forward strand.
CAACAAATGAATGGAAAAAGAAAATGTGATACACACACACACACACACACACACACACACACACACACTCAATGGAATTAAAAGAGAAAGAAACCTTGTTATTTGCAACAGCATGGAGAAACCTGAAGGACATTATGCTATGTAAATAAGCCAGGAACAGAAAGACATACTGCCTGATCTCACTTACACGTGGAATATAAAAAAGTTGAATTCATACAGGCGGCAGACACAATGGTGCTAAATGATGAAAACACATGGATACAGAAGGGTGGTTGTTGGATCTTGGGGATGGGAGTGGAAATACAGAGATTTTGGTCAAAGGGTAAACATCTTCAGTCAGATAGGAGGAATATGTTCTGGATATCTATGGTATCGCATGGTGAGTAGATTTAATAACAATGCATTGTATTCTTGAAAATTGGTAAATAAGTAGATCTTGAATGTTCTCACAGCAAAAAAAGATAAATATGTAAGGTTATGGTTATGTCCCTTAGCTTGATTTAAATTTGATTTAATCTTTCATATGTATACATATACCAAAGCACCACCAAAAATATATGGATTTTTAGATTTATTAATTGTCTTAATAAAAGAAAAAAACATGGATGTATAAAAAATAAAGAATACCTAAGAGAGTTAAATTCCCAATAAGTACTAGGAGCTGTTATTAGGAAAAGCTTGATACTTGAACTTATAAAATCAGAGATAAAATAACAGAAAGTAAAGATTGAAATTCATCATTGCTCTCTGAGTTCTTAGTATATCAAGACTTCTCATTTACAGCAGCATATTTCTCAAATTTCAATCTGTTAAATTTTGTCACCCTCCATGAAACATTTTACATTAAAGTAATACTAGACCATTTTAAGCAGAAGAGAAATTCCTTTTATGTTGCACCTGAATTGTGCCTATGAAAAAGAAAAAAAAAATTTATAGAAATAAAGATCCTTTGTTTTCAGTGTGTAATATTAGAAAAAGTTGGCTTTTGAGCCAGAGAAGCAGATATGTCTATAATAGACATCATTGTATCCCTAAGCCTTTTGGCCACACACAGTTGCAATCTTTTGAGCAAACAGTAGAAAATTTAGAATAAAGTATTATCACCTGTGTTTATTTCTAACCTACCTTATTCAAAAACAGAATATATTCACTTTTAACAAAAATAGAAGGCTGTCACTTGTAGAATGTGTACTGTTCTGACTGATGAGAACTGTCTCTCACCAGAGGACACTTGCAACTTACTTGAAAGAGTAAAACATTTTTGATAATCTTCTATCACAGTTTATGTCATAATTGAAGACTCAACTTGTAACATAGTCATCCGTGGCCATTGTGTTCATTCTCTGCAATATATTTTCGTTATTTTGCTCTTTTTTATTTTTGGTGTTCAAAATCAAGCTCACTGAAAAATTGCACATATTCGCCACTCCACTTTTTTTCTCCAGACTTTTCTCTTTCTTGGGTTTCCCCCTAATGTTCTGTCTTCTTTGCAGATGTTTCTTTCCGCATTTTAAATGCTGAGATTTCCCAGAGCTAATTTCATCTCTTCATGTCTTCGTGCTACTAAATGTGATCCATATATTGCAGGGGGTACTCACACAGAATTTGCATAAGATAGACCGGAACTTGAAGTTCTGCCATTTACCACTCAACTTTGCAACTTTGGGAAACACACTTTATATCCATGTCCATCTGAGAATTCATCCCTCAAATGGGAAAATAGAGTTTAACATCTGAATCCATTTGGTAGATTAAAAGAAATAATAAATATAAAATAATTAGCACAGCATAGTACCCAGAAAGCAATACTAATGACCACCATAACTCCCAATTCTCTATCCCAAGCTTGACTTCCTACACACACATTTGTCAACTACAACCTGATGTCTCATAGAATCTCTAACTCAGCAAGTTCAGAACTAAATTCATAATAATTCATCTGTTTCTAGCTCTTTCTCCTCCCTTCCTTCTACAGTGATACAGGGTCCTCTCTAAACATTCTGAGTCATGGGTTATTTGAGTGAGTGAGAATATAAGCCAAATTAAAGAAGCAAAAATGCAACACATTCTAGAATCTTTCTCCCTAAAGCTATAGCTAGTCATTACTATAATATTAAAGGTCCTGCCCTCTTAAGATGTTATATATTGAATCATTTTCTATCCCCGTTGTCACTATAGTGTCATAATTCAGGCTTATATTTTACCTGGTCTCAAAAATTACAATACATTCTTATCTATCTAGAGACGCATTCACACATGCACTAAGATAGATTTTTCCAACATATAAATAATTACATTATCTAATTTCACTTATAGCAAAAATTTTACTTATACTTTGGCTTATAGCAAAAATTTCCTGATTTTTTGTATATTATAGCAATATGAAATCTTACCAAATTTGGAAGGAATTTTTATATGTCTTTATCATTTTTACATGATGTTAATTTTAAAGCCAGTATCTTATATGAGCATGTTACAAAATACTATTATATGGCTTCTTAATTCTATATTGTAATACTATTATAATATGTAAAAACATTTAAATTTTTTATTTTAACATTTGATGTATACTATTTAATTTTCTTTAATGTTTTTATGTAAGTAAAAGCAAACTTTTTATACTTAGTATATAAACCAAATGCAAATAAAAATGGAGATTGTATTTCAGATATATGACTTGGAAAAATAGATTATAAAACCCTGCTTTTCAGAACTGAAATTGAAAATTACAACTGTCATTTAAAATCAGTCTGTTTCTTTATTAAAATGCTATGACAAAATATCCAAATAGATAAAGTTTCAGGCCATTCTTCGAAAGCATATTTCCCATAAACCACATCTAAAACTAATTATTTTGAAATGTTAATTATCCCAATAAATGAAAGTTAAGTGGTTTATAATATCATTATATTCCTCCTACAAACGTGTTTTAAGCAATAAGGAAAACAATGTACTATATGAGATTTTTTTCAAAAACAGAATGCACATTTTGAATTTACACAAACTTATACTGAGGAAAGTGTGACAAAATATTTTAAATAATTATTTTAATTTGTCATTCAAGTTTTCATTTTAAGATATATGGATTTAGAATTTATTTTATTTTATTTTTTAGCATTCATCGGTACATTTTATGTATTTTTTTAACCTTTAAGTTCAGGGTTACATGTGCAGGTTTGTTATATAGGTAAACTTGTGTAATGGGGGTTTGTTGTACAGATTATTTCATCACCCAGATATTAAACCTAGTACCCATTAGTTATTTTTCCTGACTCTCTCCCTCCTCCCACCCTTCACTTTCCAACAGACCCCAGCATGTGTTGTTACCCTCTATGTATCCTTGGGTTTTCATTATTTAGCTCCCACTTGTAAGTGAGAACATGCAGTATTTGGTTTTCTCTTCCTACATTAGTTTGCTAAGGATAATGGCCTCCAGCTCCATCCATGTCCCTGCAAAGGATGTGATCTCATTATTTTTTTATGACTGGATAATATTTCATGGTTTATGTGTATCCCATTTTCTTTATCTACTGATCACTGATGGACATTATGTTGATTCCGTGTCTTTGCTATTGTGAATAGGGCTGCAATGAACATACAAGTGCATGTGTCTTTATAATGGAACAATTTATGATGTGATCTCATTATTTTTTTATGACTGGATAGTATTTCATGGTTTATGTGTATCCCATTTACTTTATCTACTGATCACTGATGGGTATTATGTTGATTCTGTGTCTTTGCTATTGTGAATAGGGCTGCAATGAACATACAAGTGCATGTGTCTTTATAATGGAACAATTTATATTCCTTTGGGTACATACCTAGTAATGGGATTGCTGGGTCGAATGGTATTTCTGCCTTTAGGTCTCTGAGGAATTGCCACAGTGTCTTCCACAATGGTTGACCTAAGTTACACTCCCACCAAAAGTGTATAAGCATTCCTTTTTCTCCACAACATCGACAGGATCTGTTATTTTTTGACTTTTTAATAATAGCCATTCTGACTGCTGTGAGATTTGCATTTCTCTAATGATTAGTGATCTTGAGCTTTTTTTTTCATATGACTGTTGGCTTCATGCGTGTCTTCTTTTGAAAATTATCTGTTCATGTCCTTTGTCTACTTTTTAATGGAGTTGTTTGTCTTTTCTTGTAAATTTCTTTAAGTTCCTTATAGATACTGGATATTAGACCTTTGTTAGATGCATAGTTTGCAAAAATTTTCCCCCATTCCGTAAGTTGGCTCTGTTGATTGTTTCTTTTGCTATTCATAACCTCTTCAATCAGATCCCATTTGTCAATTTTTGATTTTGTTGCAATTGCTTTCTGCATTTCATAGAGAAATGTATTATATTTGTCAAATGGGCTATTAGAAATATAGTATTGGACTTCAGGACAATGATTACTGGAGACAAAGTTTTGAGGTTTCTCTGCCAAGAGATACGAAGGGAAGTCACAGGAAAATAAAACAAAGCAATGTACTACATAAAGAAAAAGTAGAAAATGAATGCGATCATTAATTATGTTTTTGTTCTAGCCATGCATTCAACAAATGTTTGCTAAAAGCCTTATTAGGTCTAAGAGAAATAGCCACAAACATGAATAAAACCATACAGTTGATTTAAAATAGTTTTAATTTACCAGCAAAAATTGTATATATTTATGATGTGTGACATGACGTCTTGACATATGTGTATATTATGGCATGGTGAAATTAAGGTATTTAATGTTTATGCAACACCTCACATGCTTATTTATACTTTGAGAAGTAGCAGCAACCTGTCTGAAAATAAATATCTAAATTATAAATAGGAAAATCAACCAGATTATTGTATATATTTATGTAATATTAATACCTTTCCTAAAATGCCCCTATAAAGACATGGGTCCCAGGCACTAAACCAACTATAGACCCATAGAAGACAATCAGTTCTGTTGCCATCTTTGGTACCTTGAAACTGTTTTTTTGATACATGCAGAAACTTCTAAATTGGGTTTTATAGATACTGAATAGCAGTTCTTCATCCATGGGCAACCCACTTATGCATTCTTTGGACTGTATCTGTGGATCTGACTGTTCATAAAAAGCTTTTGGCTTTGTCAGAGCATCAAGTGTTGATTTAATATGAAATTTCACCCACAAAATCTACATAGGAACCAAGGGTTTCAACTTCGTCACACATGTCAGCCAAGTGAGCCTAGAAGGAGCTGTTCACAGAGATTTAGATAGATAATTCCAGTTTTTGAAAGGCCAATGACCAGAACAATATAGTACAATCCATTGGCTCCTGACTAGGGATATGTTTCAATAATTTTAACACTTTAGGATGCGTATACATGCTATGAAAATGATTTTCAATTCTTTGTGCCCCTACAAGGCTGATTCGTCATTTGCAAAGATCTGGGAAGCAATATTAGCAAAGCAATCCATGAGCTTGGCAACATTTCTGAGGATGACTACAAAGTTCCTAGGATATCAAGAGGTAGCAATAATGATCCCTGCCAGTGCTGTACTGGGAGACTAGCCAATATCAAGGGAAGTAATGGCAAGTTGTGGATCCACGCTTTGTCCTATCCTGCGTGTTCCACATCTATTCATATTGAAGTTTTCATTTTCTGGCCACCCCATTCATTCCATTCCATTGTAGCCTTTCTGGCCACTGTGGTATCTCTACTTAAATACCACTTGTAAGTGCACCCATTCCTGACAATTCTCTATTAGTAAGCAATGTATCTTTCTTATTACATCCTAATTCTGTCTCTTGCTTTATTTTTATCTTTGGTGTTCATTATCCTGTGATATGTAATGCATTTACATATGTATTTTTAAAATGTATTGTCTGTCTTCAACTGGAATATAACCTCCTTGAGAATATCTTTTTAATTTTTCATTATTATGATCCTGTTTTCTAGATCAGCACTTGCATTAAGTAAGTGCTTATACTTGTTGAATACATGAGTAAGTGAACACAAAAGTTGGGAGGCATCTTGTTATCTTAAGACCCCACATAGCTCATAACTGAAATGATTTTGACACATTTTATTAATCTTATAAAAAGGCCTGTAATCCCAGCTCTTTGGGAGGCCGAGACGAGAGGATCGCTTGTTCCCAGGAGTTCAAGACTAGCCTGGGCAACATAGGAAGATGCCAGCTCTATAAAAAATTTAAATAATTAGCTGGGTATGGTGGCATGTGCCTTTAGTCCCAGCTACTCAGGAGGCTGAGGTGGGAGGATCGCTTAAGTCTAGGAGGTTGTGGCTTCAGTGAGCCATGATTGCACCACTTCAGACCAGCCTCGGTGATAGAATGAGATAATATCTAAAAATTTTTTTAAAAAATTTTAAAGCAACCATATTAAGAGGCATGATCATACTAGATGTGATAAATGCTGCTCCTAAAAATATATTAGAAAGTTTCTTTCTAAGTATTAGTTTTGGTATTTAGGGGGCTCAAGGATAATAGTTTCTGTCTAGTCTTGAGTATATTTGTCCCTGATAACTGGGACTATACTGTCTGGGAAGCCATGTATATGATTTTCTATGTAATAACACACCCTTTTTTGCAATAAAATCAATAAAGACAGAGCATCACACAATTTTTTCACAATTACTGCTGTTAATACGGCACCAATGTAATGAGCAACTTTAGCATTTGAGTTAGGTTGAGGCCATCTGTTTAAAGCTCATCTTAGTGGATTATGATATCATGCCAGATAATTTAAATATCCAGGTGGCTCGGAAAACACTAAATCAAACTTCTGGCCATAAAAGAGAAAAACAAATTGCTCTTGATATCCAGCATTAGCAGTGACTCGTAAGATCACATAAGCCAAATCAATGGCTGCATACCAATCAGAAATTAAAAATCATCTTTCAATGTAGAAATGTGGTCACAGTTTTCATCTAATTGCTGCAACCTTTTTTAAAATTTATAAATAATTCTATTTATATTCTACAAATAGTTGCCAGAACCCATCTGACTTTTGTACCAGCCAAACTGAGACCATAATTGGGATGATTATTGGCATTGTATATAACCTACCCCTGTGATTTCCATATTAGAATTAAAACATTATATGTCTTCCTTAAAATATTGCATTATAATTTCATGATTATGATTTATAATGAAGTTCCTGAACTGCTTCTTTTTGTCCTTTTAAGAATCCTTTCCCTAGAATTATAAACAACAAATTATCAGTAGGAGTTGAAGGAATGGGGACAGCTTCATTGCCTTAGTTCTTTATTTCTAACCTGGACACTTGATAAAATTCTGTAGCTTCAACTTCTTTCTCCTCAAGATTCTTTATTACTTATATAATCACTACTTTCAAAAGCTCCTCAATTTTTGGTATATTAATGTTTCTTAGGGTCATTTGGACTTGGACATAGAGTTACAGCTTCTGTGAAAATATTTTTATGTGATTGTTCTCGAGGAGTAGACATGAGGATAAATCAAAAGAAGGTACATTTCATTTTTGTTGTTGTTGCTACTGTTCTTGTTCTGTAGGGAGTGTGTGTGTGTGTGTGTGTGTGTGTGTGTGTGTGTGTGGATTGGGGGCCTGGGGATTGTAATTATTCTTGTTTATGTTGTACAGGCAGAGATTGACCTTTGTATTAAGTTCCCTAGGGCTGCTGTAACCAAGTACTACAAACTAGGTGGCTTAAAAAAAATTTTATTGTCTAGCAGTTCAGGATACTAGAGGTCCAAAATCAAAGTATCTGCAGGGCCATGCTCACATTGAAACATAAGGGAATCTTTTCCTGGCTCTACCTGGCTTCTGGTAGTTGGCTGGCACTATTTGACATTCCACAGTTTGTAGAGTCATCACTCCAATCCTCAGTCTTCACAGAGCCTGTGTCTCTGCCTTCTTTAAAGACACCAGGCTTCTAGGATTAGGACACTAGCCTACTTCAACATGACCTCATTCTAATTTAACTCATTGCATCTGCAAAGATCTTATTTCCAATATGTTCACATTTTGAGGTACTTAGGGTTATGACTAGAACATATCTTGTTCTTAGGGACACAATTAAATACATAGCAACCTCTTTTATTTTCTTCCCTTTGGCGTCTTGCTTTAGGAGAACTAATCGCCAGTGTGGCTGTTGTGGTGCATGCAGGCTACTCCACTATAGCTGCTGTTGTAAGCAGAAGTGATCACATGTGCCAATCAAGACCTGATGCCTGGAGTTCCTAAACTAATGACTCCTGAGCAGACACTTGTCTCCATCTAGACTATGTGACTGTCACGCTAGCTGAGCAAATTCTTCATTACCCAATTCCTGTGAACTTTCTCAGCTTTAGCTTTGCCTTCTTTAAAAGGTGCCAGGAAGGTGTATTTAAGAAAACAAATCTATTTCAATTTCAGTGAGATGTGAATCATCTTGGGCATTTAATAAGCGAATCAAGGTGATGGATATAGCATAGGGATTTCTTTCATTAACCTTCTAAAATAGTAAAGGTTTTCCATAGGCACAGCACTATTACATTTACAAATTGGGACATTATGTTCTTGCTGTTTCACTACTCATTATAACCAGCCTTGGGCACTTAATCTCTTAATGAGCTGTATTGCCATTGTGGGAGCATCCTTACTGAGGTCTTCCAAAGCCCCTAATTCAACCCTATTCAGTTTATCTGTGTATCTTGTTTAATTTTATAACCAGCAGATTAGCATGCCACCTGCCATGCCTACAGGAAACCGGCAATATATTTTAACTAATTATTGGTGTACCAGGTGAGTAACAGAAATTATTGTAGGATTCTGGGTGTTTACATAAACTTTTACACATTTCCTGCCTAAGACAGATATTTCTTGAAGAAGAAAGAAAGAAGGGTGAGGGTCTGGTCTGTGAGAAGGCTGGTTGTCTCGTTCCTGCCTACTCAAGTCTCTGAGAATAGTAATACCCACGTTTACCTATGATTTCCAGGTTACTGTTTGAATCATTTGTTTCTGTTTTACAAAACAATCCAGTATAATAACTTACTATTAATTATGATTCTTTGAGTTACCCAGGGTCAGTTTTGAAGTTCTGCTGGTCTCACTTGGAGTCTTTGACATAATTCCACTAGATTGAAAGACTGTTTGGGAGATGGTTTTTCACTCTCTGTCTCTCTCCATATAGTCTTTAATTGTTCAATAGTCTAGCCTGGCTTCCAAACGGCATGTCTTCTGGGTTCCATAACAGTGCACTCTTCTGTCACATTTTGTCTGTCAAATCCGGACATAATTTCTTCCAAAATAAAGGATAATATAAATAAACTCATCTGTTACCTGAGGAAGGGCATGAGTGTACCAGGATGGAAGGAATTGTTGGCTGCCATATTTAGAGACTACTTACCTCAGTATCAAATACCTGCTATCCCATATTGTTACTGATTGTAGTTCTTCCTTTCAATAAATTATGATGTTCTACTCTATCAAAAAAGGTCCTATCAGCAGAGCAAAACCATAAAATAGTTTGCACAGGCAGAATTTTGTATTTAAAATAATTAACTCTAACAGAGGATTGGAGTAATAAGGGATTGTCTAGGTAAAAAAAAAACCTTAAAAACTAGAACTAGCAGATAAGAAACATCTTATATCCTTAGAATTGAGTTAAGGTGCCCAATAAAAAGGCATCTGCCTCCCCGACCCAGTGAAGCAGAATACGATGACAGCTTCAAAGGAAAGAAGTATTCTATTTTTAATCACTTACACTGGGGCAGACATTATGGACAGTGATGCTGTATAATTATAATACATTTTCCTTATTCAAGTCACTGAGATTTTTTTGCTATTAAAAATAAAAACATCAAAGTATCAAATATGATTATTCAGGTCAGAACAAATATATCGTAAGAATGTCACCAAGAATAATAAATTTTCATTCACTCTACTTTATTGAAACATGTACAAATTATCTCTCCAGGGTTGAATTGTCTAGAGATATTTGCAGCATCTTGTATCAGAAAAAAGAGTGACAAGTTTCATTCCATTTTTCGTAGAAGGAAGGATTATCACAGAGCCAATGCCACAAGGCCCTTTGGTTCAGAGACAGCATTTTCCAATCATGTTCTCAACAAGTCTCGAACATGTTAATTAATGTTTGTCTTGAAGAGTTCTTAAATAAAAACTAGTGGATAGCTTTCTCACATAAATTTAAAAGATTTTTAAGATAGCATCTTCAACAAATCCAAAACTATAAAATGTCTTTTGAGTCATACCTTTTGCTTCAAAATACTCCTAATAAAGCACATAAATTGACAAACTCCATTGTTAGTAGAAAGTTTTATGGCTTCAGATCACAATTAATATTTTAACATTCATATTTTCACCCAAAGGACATTTAGTCATCATGTTTGACACTAACAATTTTATCTTTCTTCTGCTGGTAGTTGTATGACTCATTAAAACAAAGTATATAAAATAATCGCATCTATACTGATGACTTAAATGGGCACCAAAATAAGTGAGTTTAAAAAATTCTATCTTATGAGAAAAACATAAAATAGTTCTTACGTAATATGTAAGAAATAATAATTTCTTACTGAATTCATAGTGAAAAGTACTGCTGGAATACGTCATCACAAATAGCATTCTCCATTACTAAAATATAGATGCAATAATAATTAGTAACTATGATCGTAACAAACTACTTGAAAAACATGTGGCTTGAAAATGTCAAAAAAGATACAAATGCAACTGAGCAGTATAGGAAAAGAGTACTCTTAAAACTCAGCAGATTGTGGTGGGTATGTGGCAACGTTTTGAAGATGATGTAGTTGTCATTCTGGTTATCTGAGAAAACAGAGATTATCATATCCAAAGAATAAATACAAATGAAAAGGTTTAATATTGCATTTGGAATTGTTTTTATTTTTCAAAATTGATGATAGAATAAAATATTTTTATAAAATATAAATCTGCAAATGTTTTTACCTGGGACAATGAGCCTTGACAGAATAACATCTAGAACAGCTAACCCACAATAACTTATGTAAAATTGTCGAAATGTTATATTGAGTAAAATTAATAGAAGAGTCAAGTATTATATTTTAATTTTCAATATCCTGGTGGAAATAATTATGTGCAAAATATCAACGAAATAGGGAAAGTAAATAAGAATGTTTTAAATATATATATACACCCAAAATGGAAAACCGACTTAACAGATTTTGCTTTAAAAATACATTTTCTATGAAGATTCATCAATTCTACAGAAAGTGATAGACCTCTAATAGAAATATTTGGTTTTAAACACTGCATGTTCTCACTCATAGGTGGGAATTGAACACTGAGAACACTTGGACACAGGGCAGGGAACATCACACTCAGGGCCTGTTGGGGGATGGGGGGCAAGGGGAGGAATAGCATTAGGAGAAATACCGAATGTAAATGATGAGTTAATGAGTGCAGCAAACCAACATGGCACATGTATACCTATGTACCAAACTTGCACTTTGTGCACATGTACCCTAGAACTTAAAGTATAATAAAAAAAAATATTTGGTTTCATAAGGAAAGCATCAAAATAATCAAAAGAAATTATTAAAATATTCTTGCATGGCAGTGCTAGTCCAATGGAGTTGAAGTGGCAAAGTCTACATTTCCTGAGTACAGCTAGAAAGACACTGTTCAGGGAACAGTTAGATTGTAACCAGCTAAAGAGAAACCAGGATGTTAAATTTGGCTATTCTAGCAAAGAAGCATTCAGGAAAATAAAGAAGCAATTATCCGTGAGCTGAGTTCCAGGCTTTTTTTTGCACAGTTTTTGTATTCGCATAATGAATGAACAGCATTGTCACGAGCATTTTTAAGTGCCTTAGGATGGGACTGTCATCCAGCCATTAAATCCTGCAAATTCAGTTCTGAGGGGAATAAAAAAGAAATACAGGAACATAGAGTGAGAGTTGTATTTTGTATTTCCTTTGTCCCTTTTGCACAGTTTCAGAATGCATTGACAAATCAGTTTCTGTAGCAATGGGATTCAGATTCTGGATTTTTTTTTAAAAAGAACATAAGCTTCTGAGGCTAGAAGTAGAGAATGACCTCCAGTGGCTGGTGTCAAAAGAAGAGAACAGCCAATAAATTATATTTGTCCTAGATCTGACAACCCATGTAGAATTACATTGGTACAGAACTAACCAGTACCCTGTTGATGTCGAAGATGTTTCTTATTCCCCAAATATGTGAACCTAATTATGACTGTATTATAATCTAGCAGATCTCACTAAGTATATTCCAATGGCTATATGCAGTCTTAGAATTGAACACACAGAGCACACCATTGTGTTGCCGATGGCATAAAAACTTGAAGAAACTCCAAGATGACCAGAACTCAGAAGTCTGCAGTCATAGTAAGTGAAATGACAAAAAAAAAGTAGAGAACAGTTAGATTTCTTGGGTAAAGGCTGAACAATCTACTGATGCAAGAAACAGAGGAGGAGTTTCCTCTTAGGACTTGAGAAGATTCATTGATAGAAAAAGGACTCTGTAAAAATGAGCAGATAGTGTTTGATATAAGGCAATGATTTGACTGTATGATGGGTGCCTTGATCAGGTTTGGAGGTAATAATTTGCATGGCAACCTAATATATACCGTCAGGTAAAACCTCCTGAAAATTACATGAATGATACCAGATAGCACATGTGTCCTATTTTGATACATACCCTGGTCCTGCTGAGATTGTGCCTTTGCTATGAAGCAAGGCCTCTTTGAGGCACATTATTGTACTTAGACAAGGCCCTGCATTCTAGAGAAAGAGACAAGCTGGGAAAAAAGATTTTGTACACGCTCAAAGAATGAATGTCCATTTGAGAGTATAAACTAGTTGCCATGTCTGCCAATTGCCAACCACCACCATATCCTTAGAAACCATGCTATTACCATGTTTCAGTGTACACCAAAAGAAATCTAGAGTAGGAACTGGCTTCCTCCCTCACTTGTGCATTTGTCCGTTGCACATTCTATCAAGTAGGTTTAATAGTGCTTTAGTAACTTACAGAGAAATTGTGGCAAAACTCTCCTGTTATTTTTGTTAATCAAAATTTGTAGCTTCCCCTCTAAGAGAGTCACGCATGAGTCCATGGGCCATGAATAGTAACAGATTTTGAGTTATAAGCATAATGCTGAACTAAAAATGATTCATCAGCTGTAGAACTCACCCATTTTGTGTAGAGAAAGTTTGCTTTGTTCAAAGTATTGCTTTAGGGAAAGTTCTTAACAAGAACACGCCTTGCTTTTCCACAAGAAACATTTCTTGATGGGTCTGTTACACAAATTATTCAGATATGCAAGTTTTGTTTTGCTTTGTTTTTAAAAAATATAGTTCAAAATTATTGCTAGGGCTAAACCCTTGTTCCACATTTTTTATCTCATGCATTTTTAAAAGCTATTTTAAATTTCTGCCTCCAATCTTGTTTTATTTTATTTTTTCAACTGGGTAATTGTCTTTGCAGTTTATGTTTTCTTTCAGATATTCTCACAGGGAAACTTCATCATTTCTCTATTAGGGTATTTTCAGTCACATTATGTATTTCTTTTTCTATCATAATTTGCAGTACTATCACTGGATTAATTTTTTAAATCACCTTTCGACAAGTATAATTTCCATGCAAGTTTGACAAAGTTCAATTTGTTTTTTTCTTTTATTTTTCACATTTGTAATAATTGTGTAAGAAATCTTTGCCTATTCAAAACTCACAAAAATAATTTTTAGACATTTTACAGCTTAACACTTAATTCACAGATATTTTTCTGAATTAATTTAAGTAATGTCGTATGTGTCATGACTTTAAACTTTTCTTTTCTTCCATGTCCACTTGTCCCAGCAACATTTGTTGAAAAGATTTTATTTTCCCCCATTGAATTGACTTGACACCTTTTTTGAAAGTCAGCTCAACAAATATCCATGGCCCGATTTCTGGAATCTCTATGCTGTTTCATTTATTTTTATGTCTGCCCTCACAGCAATACCACCCATTACTTGTAACTTTATACTAAGGCTTGCAGTCACACGGCAAAAGACCTTCAAATCTGTTCTTCCTGTGCAAGCATTTTGGCGCTCCTAGGTTCTTTGAATGTCTACATACATTTTAGAATCAGCTTGACAATCTACAAAAAAAGCCTCCCAGGACTCTGATCCAAACTTCATTTAATTTATAGATTTGTGACATCTTACAATGAGTCTTACAGTCAATGAATATGATACATCACTCCATCTCATGTTTTCTTTCACTTTTCTCAGATATGTATCACAGTTTTCAGTTTAGAGCTTTTACAAATATTACATTAAATGTGTCTCCAAGTATTTTCTGTATTGGATGCTACTGTAAATTGTAATTTACTCTGTATTTTAATTGTAATTGTAGGACATGGAAAGACAGATTTTTGTATGATGGCCACGTTTCCTATGAACCCACTACATTCTTTTTTTTTTTTTTCTTTTTTTTTTTTTTGGAGTCTCATTCTGTCACCCAGGCTGGAGTGCAGTGGTGAGATCTCGGCTTACTGCAAGATCCGCCTCTCAGGTTCACGCCATTCTCCTGTCTCAGCTTCCCGAGTAGCTGGGACTACAGGCGCCCGCCACAACACCTGGCTAATTTTTTTTTTCTTGTATTTTTAGGAGAGACGGGGTTTCACCGTTTTAGCCAGGATGGTCTCGATCTCCTGACCTCATGATCCGCCCGCCTCAGCCTCCCAAAGTCCTAGGATTACAGGCGTGAGCCACCGCACCTGGCCTGAACCCACTATGTTCTTTAAATATTAATAACATTTTTTGTAGATTCCTTATAATTTCCTACAAAGTCAATAATGTCAAATGCAAATAGTGTTTTGCAGCTTTACTCTTAATTTACATATTTTTCCCTTGCTCTAATGCACATGCTAGAATCTCTAGTATAATGGTGAAATACAGCCATAGATGTTCCAATATTAAACCAGTATTTCTTATTTCAATTAGCTAATATTTTGCTAAAGCTTTTCTGGTTCTACAATTTTGCATCTATGTATGTATCAATTTTTACATCTGTGTTTTCTAATTTTTCTGATTTTGGTATTATGGTAATCATAATTAAATAAGTGAAATATTGTGGAATCAGGAGGACCAGAAAGAGACCTTGGGGTGTATACAGGAGGATATCTTTATTGAGTGCAGTCAGACCCAGCAAACTCAACATCCAAAGACTGGGTCCAGAACAAAGACAGCATTTGACTTTCATACACACTTCACAAAGGGGTGGACTACCTTGAAGCAGGCTTTCAGTTACAGTGGCGCGAAAGCAAGGATACAGAGTCAGAACAATTAATTAAATTGTGACAGGTTCATAACTCCGGATTACACATGACCATTGCCAAGCAACCCATTTGTCTGTTATCCAGGTTTTGCTCTAAAGAGTCTTGCACTGGTTTATCGCATAACTTCACTATGGTGCCCAGACAGCTGTAGTTCAGGCCTGCTCAGGCTTCTCATGACCTTCACTGTACTTCTTAGATAAAACAGAATACTTGAAGTTACCAGTTACAGAAAACAAGAATCTATAAACTAATACCATAAAGCAAAGGAAAATTTGTTTTTTGTCTCCATGTGTTGAAGGAGTGCTGGGAGAGTCTCCAGAGCACATTCCTTTGTGTCCTAGCTTCTTAGATAGTGTTTACCAAGCCTTTTCCTGGGTCTGGGCTGTGCCTGTTGCTGCCTCTGGGACCAGTCAGCCTAATACAGGAAAGCTTATTTCTTTCTCTTTTTAATTTTATTTTTCCTTATTTCTTTAATTTCCCACCTCAAAACATTTCCTACTCTATTTCATCAACTAAGATTTATATGATTCATCCATTAAATATTTATTTGAATTTCTAATTTTGGTATTATGGTAATCATAATTAAGTAAACATTTCCTACTGTACTTTATCAACTAAGAGTTATATGCTTCATTCATTAAATATTTAATAAAATTTACCAGTACATTTACATAAGGCTGTTTATTTTTTTTTCTTTCTTTGTATAAAGGATTTTAATCATCAGTTATATATCTTTACCAGAAATAGGACTACTTAGCTTTTCAGTTACTTTTTAAACTAGTTTGGATAACTTGTGTTTTTCAAGCTATTTGCCACTTTTCTTTAAGTTTCCAGACTTGGTAGCATAAAGTTGTTAAGATAATATTCTCTTAGCCATTGTGTGTTACAAATATAGTGCAACCTACTCTTTCATTGCTTTTGTTTGAGCAATCTAGTTTTAAAAATTGTTTTTAATAATTTATTTAAAATAACATTTGTTTGTTTACTTTATCATTAGTTTGTTTTTTCCTTCAGAGATGTCTTTTCTATTTATTTATCCATTTTTTACTTTTACTTAATAATCAAGCTCCTCTTTCCCTAGCTTCTTTTGGTGGGAGCTGAAATCATTAATTTTTTAATTCTTTTTTCTTCTTTTTTAATATAAGCATTTGCAGTTGTAATTTTTCATCAAGTCACTCCTTTACTTTTACTTCACAAAACAAGAATCAGAACCATACCTAGGTACAACACAACTGTTAGGATCATCATTCAGAGAAATTAAAATAATTGTGATTACTATATTAAGGGCTCTTAACAGAAAAAAAAATAGGGGTGTGTAATATAAACAGAGAAATGAAAAAAGAAAAAAAAACTAAGAAAAAAACAAAAGAAAATGCTAAGGGAGAAAAAAGAATAGGCCCATTGATGGGTTTATTAATCAACTTCCATGACTGAAGAAACAATGAGTGAGCTGTAGGTAAGCCCATAGAAAATTTCCAAACTGAAATGAGAAGAGAAAAAAAGATGAAAAAAAAAAAACAAAAACAAAAGAGAACATTAAAGAGCTGTAAGACAGTTTCAAGAAATATATCACACTTTGAATTGGCTTAATAGAAGAAAAAGAAGAAAAATTTAGCAAAAAAATTAACATTTGCAGTAATCATCGCTAAGATTCACAATATGAGAGACCTCTACTTCATCACAAGCTTTCAACATTGACAGAATAGTTCTAGATAAGCAGAGGAGCAAGTTGCCTAAGTGGACGTGGATATATGATGATGTCTTAACAAGGCAACTAGTTCCCTCAAAGGGCAAGTCCAGCTTCTCCTCATATTTGGTGGATAATTAACAAATTCCAGTATTTTAAAAAATAATCATTATCATGGTGACTAGCTTCACTCGATTATCTAGCGTTATCGAATCTCTATCATCTATCATCGCCAACAGGCATGGCTCAGTTTAGCCAACCAAGTACTCTACTTCCAAGATTTTGACTTGTGATTAATCCAATTATCTCCTCTGCTATAAGGAGAAAAGATTATATTGGATAGTTTTGTTTCCTGCAGCAAAGTAATTTTCTGCATGACCAGCAATAATGCAATGTGGGAGATTTTAATAAGAAGCAATTATTTTTAAATTTAAAACTTAAACAGAATGCAGATTGCAATAATATAGCAGAGATGTGCACAAAATTGTGAGTCACTTTAAAAACTGTTAACCCTGCAATGTATTCTTGTATGGAACAGTGCAGTAAAATAAACATAACTGAAGCAGAAATATTTCTGTCTCCTAGAAACGCATATATAATATTAAAACTGACAAATAATACCCCCTTTGTATGGCATTCCGTAATTTAATGTGTTACCTTGTTTTCATCATTGAAATTAATAGTTTTTTTTTTTTTTTTACTGAAATAAAGAAACATTTATGAAAAGAACACATGATAACATATTTTTTTTTGGTCCAAGAGAAAAAGTTAGCATCTGATGTTGGAAAATGATCAATGATAAGAAATGAGATTTTGCAAAATAAAGTCATTGAATATGTTATGGAAAATACAGCCTCTGTCCCTCATTATCATGGTGTGCAAACTGAGGAGTTAAACAATTGAGATCTCTGTGATCTAGTACCCCCATCTCGCCTGTTATTTCCAACTCTGAAGACAGAAATCTATCACCAGATGGATGCAGTATATCTATATCTACATCTATATCTATATCTATATCTATATCTATCAATATTATCTGTATCTATGTCTCTATCTAATCTATCATTTTTTGGTAGCTACTTAATCCTCTATTGAAATTAGATTTCATATTGAGACAGGATTGTTCCCCTGACCTCCCTTCATGGGCGGGAAGTGGAGTGGCCTGTTACCCTTAGCCTGCTGCTGGCCACTCCTTGCAAGAGGGAGTGTGCGAGCAAGCAAGTGCAGGAACCAGAAGAAAGGAACACTGGAATCAGCTAGCTGCTTCTCTCTGGTAGGAGCAGGCTCTATGCGTTCCACAGCAGCATCCAATCCCCTGCCCTCTTGGCACCCATTTCTTGTTCGGGGTCCAGAAAGAATCAGGTCACTAATTGAAGGGTAGTGTATGCAGAGGATTTTACTGGGCAATGGATGTGGTTCTCAGTGGAATGGGGAGTTGGAAAGGGGATGGTGCGGGAAGAAAGTGATCTTTCCCTGAAGCCGCACCCTCTGAAGTTAGCTCCGTCTGTCTGTAGTCTGAGATGCTCAGCCGCTTGTATCCTCAACACTCAGCAGCCTGCATCCCCAACCTGTTGCACCAGCTGCTTCTATTGCTTGGCCAGCTGAAGTCTTTTTATACTCACAAGATAGGGGGCGGGGCAGGCCAAAAGGGCAATCATTTGGGCCGAAAAATGGGGTCAGCTGTTTTCACTTAGAGCCGAGGTTCTAGGTTAGAGGGTGGAGTTGAGCTGAGAGTCCAGCCATTCTGTGACAATATTTGATAATACTGAAGGTGAGATTATGAAAACAGAACAGAAGAGCACCTAGAAAGAGTTGAGAGGGAGGTAGAACACAGCAAGTTTTTGGTCTGAGAGCGGACCTTATCTGGTTACAGGTGAACTCTTTCCAGTAACTCCGTTGGTTGTTTAGTTTATTCCTTTCTGTTCTATCCCAAAATTTCTTCCTTACTTCTATTGTTTTCAAAGAGTACTTCAAAGGAGTTAAAATAAATAAAAGTAATTTTTTTAAAAATGCTTCATTTTTAACCTGGAAATATACGCACTACATCCATTTCAAAAGTTCCTTAGATGATTTTAGAATTGAATGATACCTTAGTTATAAGATGTTAACACTTACTGAATTATTATAAAGTGGTAGGGCTTCTGCTGAGTATTTTATGTAAGTGACCAGAGTGGCCTTTATATATTTTATATTTCATATAAAATAAATCCCAACCAATCTATCTGCAATTGCTACATTCCAGTTAGGTGAGACTTCAAATTTTCTTACCCAGCCCTTTTTTCCCATAGCCCTTGCTGACATTTCTGATCATTTTATTTAAAACTAAAAATGTCTAATGAATCAATAAAGATTTATGTTAATATTAAGAGAATACCACTGATCACATAAATTGGTAAAGACTTCACTACCAATTTTAATTTTTTAGTCCCTATTAGTATTTATTTAGGAAGAAATACAAGTTTTGAAGGATCATGGTTTCTAAACACAATGGTCATATTTGTTTCCTACCTCACTTTTATGATCATTAAAATTATCAGAGTTACCATGAGTTCTACTGACAGCAGACTCACTAGAATGTTGCTTGTAAGTTAACTTCACATTTATAAACTATTGAGTTCTAGTCCAGATTATACCAGCACAACTACAGCAGCCATCTATCTTCTTCCTTCCCTGATAGAATTATTTTATGCCATAAAACAATAAAAGAAAATGAAAATCTGTGTCTCACCTCAACACAGAGTTTTAGAATTTAACTTTTTACATTATCAATGAGCTTTGCATTTTGTGGATAATTTTTTCAAGGAAGCTTTGTTTCTCACCAGTTTGACAAAAGAGTTTTATGCAAAGCAGATGTGGATAAGGAAGAGGAAGGAGATAAAGTTGAAGATGAACAGGAAAAAGAAGACAGAGGAAAGAAGGAAGACGGGAGTGAAGGAGGAGGAGAAGGCCTGGCATAGAAGCACTGTCATTCCTGGCCCCAGGGCCTGAAGCTCATGACTAATCTAGAGAAAGGTGGAGCCTCAAAGTTGAAAAACTGTGCTTATGTAGGCTATGTGACACTTGTTATGTGCAGCTTATTTCAATAGACTGTAGTATGTTCGATGTTGATAGGTGCTATGGAGTAAATTTTTCTTTTAAATTGGCATGTGAAGAGCAGCTGAGGGAAAGTTTACTATTTTAAATTGTGTTAAACTTTGTTATCTGTTACCACGTTTTTCTGTCTTTGCTAATCATTTACTTCTTAAAATAGCTATATTTTACTATAGTTTTTATTTGCATCTATTTTATTAGGAGTGATCATAAATATCATTTTTATTTACTAAAGGCCCAATTATTTTTTTCCCTTCACCAATTTTGTAATTGGTAAATTTATTCTTTTTCTCAGTAATGTATAATATTTTTAAAAATCTGTATTATGGAAAGTTGCCCTTTGGTTTCTGAGATAATTGCAAATATTTTTCCAAACCATCATTTATACTTTATTCTAATTATTTATAATTTTTTCCAAATGAGGGATTTAAAAATGTTATATAGACAAAATTATGAATCTTCATGACTTCTGGGATTTTCTAATATTGAAAAATAATTTTCCTGTTTCAACATTATTTAAAATCACCCATAACGTATTCTATATTATACTTTTATTTTACTATAGTATTTCTATAATACTTCTATTTTAAGAAGTATATTTTTATGTTTTATATCAGACACAATGGAGATTCTTAAATAATATTTACCTAAGTCAGTGTCTTCAAATAGTTGGGAATATAATTGGAGAGCTACAAAGAGGAAAAATTAAAAAATAATTTATAATTTTAGAAGCAAACTCTGTTATGTGGCACTACTAGTAAGATGAAAATAAGGCCTAGAGTCATAGGTGAAGTCAGGCTTCAAATATTTCTTTAAAGGTGTATATGAATTATAAAGAGAAAAGAAGAAGTAACATGACCGAAGTATTAACTTATAGCATTTCTCTTAAAAAGAGTGTTTTTAGGCCAGCTATGGTGGCTCACGTCTATAATCCCAGTACTTTGGGAGGCCAAGGCGGCACTTGAGTTTAGGAGTTGCAGACCAGCTTGGCCAACATGGTGAAACCCTGTCTCTACTAAAGATACAAAAACTAGCCAAGTGGGTGCCTGTAGCCCCAGTTACTCGGGAAGCTAGGGAAGGATAATTGCTTGAGCCCTGGTAAGTGGAGGTTGCAGTGAGCCGAGGTTGCACCACTGCACTCCAGCCTGGGCAATAGAGGGAGACTCCATCTCAAAAAAAAAGAGCTTTTAGTCTTTTTAGTCTTTTGTTTTTCTAATTTTGAAACACAACTGAGGCATCATACTGACACCTATGGTAGAAGGTATAATTTAGCTGACAAACCGTTAGACAGGTATAGCTTTTACAAGTCCTTAATTTTAATTTTCATCAAGTATTTCACTTTAATATGTTATTTATAGAGTTAATTAAGGAAAACATGAAATTTATGACAAACGGCAATACTTAAGAACATATGGGAACTGAACAAAAAATCATATTAGTTTTCTTCTTTTAAAGCTATAGACTAGTTTAATTTATTATTACTTTTAATTTAGTTTGTGAATAAAAAGTTCAGGAGCGTAGTAGCTAAATGAAATACGTGTGATATTTTAAATGAGGAATTTAACAGATTTTTATCAGTGTGTTTTACAAGATGGATTAAAGTAAGTTTCATTAACCACATCCAGTTTAATTCCTCAATCTTTTAAGAAGAAAATGCATTAATAGAGATATGTTTAGTGATATTTTATTATGGATATAGTCAGGCTAAAAAGAGAGACATTCATTACTCAAACATACTCCTGAAATTACTTTTAGCAATTGGAATAACTTTGTATATGCAATAATCAATTTAGCTTCAATATTATTCTTTCTTGGACTTGATTTCATTTCCAGCAAGTGGAAAGAAAATGAATATACACACAGACAAAATTTTATTTTACTTGCTATGGAAATATTTTTATGTTATAAATGAGAGATTACACCAATATCAATCTTAAATTGGGTTCATAATACAGTTTCTCAAGGATATGTTCTTGGTCATCATCTTGCCAATCATTATACTCTCTCCCTCATTCACTCAACTAACAGAACACTATTGGTGCTATGGAGTGTTGAGATTTTCACTCATGGGCCTCGGGAGAGTGTGGGAAACAAGACAGTATGCTCATTGCTGTAGCTGCTATCTCTCAAAAAGGCAAAATCTGTATACTCAGGCCAGTTGTTCCTCTGGTTTTAAACTTTTATTTCTATTGGTATTGTCTCAGTATTGGCTCTGGAAGGAACCTGATGCTAAGTTCGGCATCCAGGGAAAGGCATGGTAGATCATGCTTGAGTCAGGCATGATCTGCCACAGGTGGGGCATTGACCTATCCTCTGTGGTCACGGAAATGAGAAATGACAGTTAATCAGGTGAAGACCATGTGCAATGGCAAAAGGGCCATTTCTTAAATAGAAAATAGAGTTATTCAAATTAGAGAAGAGATTGGGAAGGCTGCAAACAAATGATAACTGCGGTCTACCAGAATTATAGTCTAACAGAAATTACAGAGGAGTTCATGGTGTCTCAAATTCCTGACAGATACTAATTTTAAGGATTCATGGAGGAGATATCAGAATTCCCAAATTATCAGAGAATCACAAAATCATAAATTATTCTTAAATATTTTCAGTGTTCTTTATATTCTACTCGTTAACATGGATATCAAGAATGCTTAATAAATTATATTTAATAGTATCTACAAAAAATTATAGTCTACAGGTAATACCCAAATTCTTGAAAGTTCCAGGAAACACTCAAGATAGTGTTTGATTATTGCAACATTGGCATCTCTTAGCAGCATTAGCCTCCTACACATACTCATATGCAGAATTGCCTAATTAAGGTCATATTTTGCTTCCAAAACTTATTTCTTGGAACACCACTCATAGGTTTTTATAAAAAATGCTACCTGCACAAATCTATTACTATTGGTTTTATTCACACACAAAAAAAATTGACTCGCTTTTAGCAGCAAAGCGGGCCTGGATCCCACTCTTGTAATAGTGCAAAGGCTGCAAGCAAAACTGACTAGATTCTGACTGCGTCTCTGTTAGGTGATCCTTTCCAGCTTCCCAGAAAGGGTGAGCTTAGCCTGTTAGTCCTGCCTGTTAGACTTCCTGTTTTTGCTTTTTATTTGATGTCAGTGAATTTCTTGGTCCATCAACCTCTCTATATTGATAGCTAAGCTTACAATAATTTTTTATAATTTTCAAATTTCTGGACTCATATTTTCAGGATTGAAGATTTGGAAGAAGATTAGTTTCCTCGTTAATGCAAGAGAGGGATTCCCTCATGGAAGCACTATATGAAGTTCTAAGATTTCATGCAATTTAATAGTAACAGAACTTTTTAAGAAACTGTTTGGAGGCAGCATGTTGGGGACATAGAGTCAAAAAGCGCACCTTGAACCACATGTAAAAATGATGATAAAAGGCAGGCACATGTATATGTTGGTCCATATGAGCTCTGCTACCTATTATAGCATTTGTCACAGATTGCATATGCAATAAATGCTTAACTCGAGAAAGTTAAGTTCTATCTGCCAATAATCTCACTGTTTATAACATACGTATATATTCTAAATAACCACAGAAAATTGTCAATTTGCACTTACATATCGAGAAATTAATTTTTATTTCTTACTGGGTAAAGAATAATTAAATTGTATATTAAACATTGTTTTTATCTCTGTTTTCTTTGTTTTACATCACATCAGCAAAGATCTAGTTAAATAACTCAGTCTCCATTTGTTCATATAAAAATTCATTTTTTTCAATCTATGTTACATCTGCCTTTAATATTTGCCAACTGAATAATCAAGATCATTTGATTAATATTCTCCTTATGTTTGAGGTCAGACCCATGAAATATCACAAGAAACAGGGCGCGGTGATGGATAAAAGTTATAAAATAGAAATGCATTTCAAAAAGTACAAAGTCAGGTGGGTCAAGTTCCTTTTACAGCCTCCTAATATCAAGGTTATTTCATTAATTGTTAAAATGATTGTACAATACGGCAGATTTAAAGAACAATGAAGAAATCTATGCAGAGACTGCCAGCTGTCTTCCCTATGGAATTTTCCTCCAAACAACACCACTAATTTCTAATTGATGTCATGGCCAACTGAAATGAAAGATACATTTCTCATCTTTGCATTGAGTAGTGGCATGTGACTAAAAGGATGAAAGTAGAACTATTACATAACAATTCCTCCTGAGAAATTTTCTACAGAGCTCCCGAAGTGTATTGCTGCATCATCTACACTGCTGTTTGCAATTAGCCAATGTGAAGGCCAGAGTTTCATGTTGGATCATAAGGGTGAGATCTATGATGGCCACGATAGAGAAGGAAGTAGAAAGTAGCTTGATTCATGGCTGACTTGATTGCTTACATGTGAATATTACTGTAAGAGTGAAATAAACTTCTAGATTTTAAGCCACTATTATTGTGTTTCTATTATTCACAGCCAAATATAACACATACGATTGTAGAATATGGTACCAGTAGAGCTATTTTTCAAGAAAACTAAGCCATGTAATTGGTTTGTGTAATTAGTAGGGTGGTGGGAGGTAGGAGCATGTATATCACAGATAGGAAAGCAGGTGACCCTTGTCATGTTTTATTGAATAAGTTATCTTTTCACCTTGGAAGACAAATTACATATTAACTTAGGATATAGTATTAGGAAAAATAATTGCTTAGTTTTGAAATTTTATTGGTGCTATTTCTTGAATCTATTAGAAAAATCCTACAAATGATTGAGTGATTGATGCCTAGGGTAGATGGAATACAAAGAGAGAAAGAAAACAGAGCTTTGCTAAAGGAGCCTTTCTCTGCCTGAAATCTACAATAGGAGATTCTAAAACTTTCAGGGTTGAAATATCTAACTTCACTGTTATCTCAACTTGTAACCAAAGAGAGAGTGTCTGCATAGCCACAAATTTCGTAGACTTGCATCCCCCTCTGTAAAGATTATGAGCTTGGTAATAAAGATGGCATCCACATTACAAGGAGGATGGCCAGAGCCAAGAGGCTAAAATAAGTATTTAGGAAGATTTCACACTTAAAAAAAAATCTGTTTAGACAAAGACTTTGATTGTGATTATTTGCGTATATAATTGACTAGAAGCAAATAGAAATTTACTACATTTTTCAAGAAATTTTATTGAAAAATAAATCTGAATTGGACCCAATTATTGGACCCAACATTAAAAGCCTTAAGGAATCCCCATGACGGTACATCCATGTTATAGCATGTCCAGATTTCATCAGCATGAAATGGGCTATGAAATCTCTATGTCCCTCAAGAATGTGCACCCAAAGGCAAATGTATAACACATGATGAAGAGGTCACAAAGTACAATGGAGAAAGGATATCCTCCCAAAGAGAAGAATCAAAAGCTTAGAGTGTAGTCTAAACAGAAAACTTGCCCTACTACTGAAGTAGAGTCTCTATTTTTTATGCTGAACATTATTTGCTAATTCCAACTGGCTATCAGCTAATGTGTTTCCCAGGTTTTCTCAATGAAATATGTATTCTTATATCATCATTTTATTACATGTGTATGGTGCAAGTAACTAGTGTCTCAGTTTGCAGGTTTCAGGATACTGCAACCTCTTATCTGCATCTAGTTTCAGGATACTGCAATCTCTTATCTGCATCTAGTAGAAAGAACTGCGTGTTACTCAGTGATTGTGAACACTTGGCTGCAAATAGATGTGAGTAATGGATGGCATACTAACTCTTCTCCTTGGGGAGCAGACAAATGTGTTCTATATACAGGAAAATGGATATCCATGGATATATTGGTAACCAAAGGAGCAGACTATGGGTAAAGGCTGCTGTTTGCCTATCCCAGTGCCAATCCCCCTACATTTGGACATTGATTTCTTCCTAGGTACATGGGCACATGTAATGGTGACAATGACAAATAATAGGATTTTTTTACAACTAGATGTGTTCATGTGTCCACATAATGGAAAGTCAGATGTAAACAGTGGCGTTATGTGAAAACTTTTGGAAAAGGTCCTGAAATGATAACTTTTACATCCTCTTTACCTTTACCTTCTTTACTTCTTCTTCTTTTATTGATGACGAGAGTAACAATGAGTTGGCTTTAAGTCTATTTGTCTGATGATGAAGAGATGCACATCCTAGGGACAGAAAATTGAATTCCAGAAAAAAAGTTCTCTTAATTTTGTAAATGACCATAAACTGGTAACAATACTCTCTAAACATAAGGCCTCTCACTAGCAAAATATACAAAAAAGCTCCAGGTAAATCATGCTAGAAACTAGCTTTGCAAAATTATAGAAGAGTCCTTTGCATGAAGACAACACAATTCTAACATTGATCCAGAATCCATTTTCATCTAATTCCAGGAGCACAAGTCATTTTACTTCCTGAATGTATTTTCTGATTGAGTGTGGTTGTGTAGAGCTCCTTTTCCACTGAGATTAGAAAGAGTTCCTCTTTTTTCTAAATTTTGAGAAGTATTGATTTTTTAAAATGAAATATGAATTTTGTTCCTGTGATGGTTTTTAGTGAATTTATAAATATGAGTCTGCACAGATTACTTTTCACAAACTATTTATTGTATTTTAGCACTTGGTTTTCCTTTGGGATTCAGGAGCCATATGTGAATAGAGATACTTCTCATTTATATTTTCCATAAAATGGTTAATTAGAAGAAATCTCACTGCTTTTTTAAAAAATAACCTATTCAGGTGAAAATTTTATAACATATAATTCACCATTTAAAGTGAGCAATTCAGTGGCATTTGGTACATTTACAGTGTTGTGCAACCACCACCTCTATCTAGTTCCAAAACAATTCCATCAGATGAAATTTTAAAACAACCATTAAGCAGTTTCTCATCCTACTCACTCCTTGACAGCCACCAATCTGAACACTTTCTCTATGGATTTTAGGATATTTTATGTAAATATACTCACATGTGTCCTTTTTATATAGCTTCTTTTAATTAACATGTTTTGGCAGTACATCCATGTTATACATGTCTCAGTAATTTCTTTTTCATGGGTGAATAATATCCCAAATAATATTCCATTTTATGTGTATATCACATTTTGTCTATCTATTTAACCATTGATGGGCATTTGGACTGTTTTCACCACTGGCTATTGTGAATAGCACTACTGTGAACATGAGTGTGCACATAGTTTTCTATTCTAGGAGTGGAATTGTGAGGGTCATATGGTTACTTCTATGTTCATCTTTTTGAGGAATTTCAGACTGATTTTCACAGAGGCTGAATGATTTACATTACCACCAGTGATTAAGGAGGGCTCCAGTTTCTTCAGATCTACATCAATAATTATTTTCCATGTTTTTAGTTATAGCCACTTTTGCAGGTTTGATAGTAGTAACTTTGTGTGGTTTTGATTGGCATTTGTCTAATAACTAATGACACTGAACATCTTTTCATGTGTTTATTGGCCATTTGTATATCTTTGGAGAAATGTCTACCCATGTCCATGATTTATTTATTTAAATTGGGTTGTTTGTCTTTTTGTTGTTGATTGTACGTATTCTTTGTATATTCTGGGTATGAGGCACTTATTAGAAATATGATTTGCAAACATTTTCTCCTCTTCTCTAGGTTATCATTTTCTTGATAACGTGAAATGTGTTACTCTATATGTGTATGTTGAAACCCTAACCCAGAATGTTACTGTATTTGAAGTTAGGGAATTTAAGGTTAAATGAGGTTATACCTGTGGGATCTTTGATAGGAATGGTGTCCTTATAAGAAGAGGAAGAAGAGCCATGGATTTACTCATAGGGGAATACCTATGTGAAGACAATGAGAAAGTGACCATCTGAAAGCCAAAAAGAGAGGCCCCAGGAGAAACTAAACCTGCAGACACCTTGACCTTGGACTTCCTGTTTCCAAAACTATAAGAAAATAATTTATATTGTTTAAGCTACCCAGTCTGTAGCATTTTGTCTTAGGAAACCTAGAAAAACAATACATGTTTTTTTTTTTTAATGCCCAAAGTGTTTTAATTTTGATGAAATACAACTATCTGTTTTTTTTCTTTTATTGCTTAATTTTGTTGGTCTTATAGCTAAAGAATTCATTGACAAATCTAAGGTCATTTGGATTTAATCATGTTTTCTTCTATGGCTTTCATGGTTTTAGTGCTTATATTTATGGCAATGATACATGTTCAGTTAATTTTTTATATGTTGTGAGGTAGGAGTCCAGTTTTATTCTTTTGCATGTAGATATTCAGTTGTCTAAACATTATTTTTGAAGAGACTTTCCTTTTCCCATTTAGTCATTTGGCCCTCTTGATTTTTGAATCATCTGACCATAAACATATGGAATTATTCCTGGACTCCCAATTCTATTACATTGGTATGTCTGTCCTTAGGCCAGCACTACATTGCTTTGATTACTATAGTTTTATAGTAAGTTTTGATACAGGGAAGTGTGAGTCCTCAATTTTTTTTAAAGATTGTTTTGTTTATCTTGTGCCTCTTGCAATTCCATATGAGTTTGATATTTGATTTTTACATTTTGCAAAAAAAGGCCATTGGAATTTTGATAGAGATTACATTGACTCTGTAGATCACTTTTGGTTGTAATGACATCTTAATAAATATGAAGTCTCACATCAATGAACCCAAGATATTTTTCCTACTTATTTGGATTTTCTTTAATTTCTCTTAGCAATTAAAAAAATTCAGTATACAAATCTTTAATGACCACCATCACACACCCCACTAGACATAACCAAATTTATTTCTAGTTATTTCCTTGTTTTGGATGCCACTATCATAGTTTTTTTTAATTTTAAATTTAAATTTTTAATTTCTAGTATATTTTGAAACACTACTGATTTTTGCTTGTTGATCTTGTATCCTGAAATGCTGATGATTTTATTTATTAATTCTAGTAGCTTTTTTGTGTATTTTTTTAGATTTTCTGTATTTAGGATCATGCCATCTGCCAGTAGAAAAAGTTGTACTATATTATTCCCAATTTGAATGACATTTATTTCCTTTTCTTTTTAAATTTCCCTGGGTAGAAATTCTAGTACAGTGGTGAAAGTGTGCATCCCTGTCTTTTTCCTGATCTTAGGGGAAGCTTTCAGATTTTCACCACAACAATTGTATTAGCTGTGGATTTTTAAAATATGGGCTTGATCATATTGAGGAAGTTACTTTCTATTTCTGCTTATTTAATGTTTTTATTATGGAAGAGTATGGGATTTTTTGTGCAGGATAAGTTGAGATAATCAATTGTTGTTTTTATTATTCAATGAATGTGGTGTATTACACTGATTGGTTTTCTCATGTTGAATCAAATTTGCATCCCTGAGATAAATCCCAATTGGCTGCAGTATATAATCTATATAATATGCGGTTATATTTGGTTTACTAGTATTTGAGAATGTTTATATCTACATTCATAAGTGATGTTGGTCTGTTAGTTTTCCTTTATTATGAAGTCTTTATCTGGCTGTAGTGCTTGGGTAATGCTGGTCTCATAGAATGAGTTAGAAAGGGTTCTGTCTTTTATCAAAGAGTTTGAGAAGGATTGGTAGTAGCTTTCTTTATATGTTTAGTAAAGTTAACAAATTGAAACCATCTGGTCATGAACTTTTATTTGTTAAGAGGTTTTCTAATATTGATTCAATCTCTTTGCTTATTCTAAATGTGTTCAGATTTTCCACTTCTTGAGTCAATTTGGTAATTTATTTGTTTCTAGGAATTTGTCCATTTCATCTAGTTTACCTAATTTTTGACATATAAAATTATATATGGAAATTTCTAAAATATTTAAAAA
Organism: Homo sapiens; assembly: GCF_000001405.40. Classification (NCBI taxonomy): domain Eukaryota; kingdom Metazoa; phylum Chordata; class Mammalia; order Primates; family Hominidae; genus Homo; species Homo sapiens. The sequence goes on from NC_000005.10 coordinate 21,569,197, forward strand.
TTTCTGTAATGTCAATAGTAATGTCCCCTCTTTTGTTACCAATTTGTTATTTGAATCTTCTCCTTTTTTTTGTCAATCTAGCTAAAAATTTGTCAATTTTGTTCGTCTCTTCAAAAAAATATACGTTTGTCTTCATTGATTTTCTCTATTGTTTTTCCATTCTATATTTCATTTGAATACATTTTTAAACTTTATCTTTATTATTTCATTCCTTCTGGGAGCTTTGGGTCTCATTTTTTTTTCCTGATAATCTAGTTGTTTATTGTATAAGATTAAGTATTTATTTGAAATCTGTATGTTCTTTAATGTAGGCATTCACTACTATAAATTTACTTCTCAGGAGCATCTCTGCCGCATTCCATGTTTTAGTATGTTGTGTTTTAATTTGTATTCATAACTAGAGGGAAACAGAGGTGACGGAGAAAAAGACGTACAAATATCATCCACTTGCAAAGTATAGATTTGTTTGTATTGTAATATGAATAAAAATATTACGAGACAGATAAGAAAATTTGAACACTGACCATTGATGCAGTTACAGTTAATTTTAAAATCAAGGTTAATAACATTTTAGTTATTTTAAAGAATGATAGTAATTTAGAGATGTATTCTGAATGTTTTTAAATGAAAAGATATGCCTGGGATTTCTTCCAAAATGAATCTTGTAGGTTGGGAAGAAAATGAGAACATAGTGGAAACAAGACTGACAATGAGTTGTTGAGGTTGGGCAATGCGTACACTAAAGCTTATTTTATCTTATTTTACTGTATATACTGTTAAAGCTTGCATTATTTTCATAAATGCATTTGCTAAGTGCAACTGTTATCAAATAAAGTGGATTGGGCTCTACTCATGCATTATTTTATTTGAATATTAGGTTTCCAGTTAAATGGTTTCCAGTTAAAACTTTCAATTTAATTTACAAAGATTTTTACATTACATATAAAGTGACCAAAGAAGCAGAACTTTAAAAATTAAATTTAATTGCCTGGAAATATATGAGAATTAAAAGTGTAATTAGACTGACACTGAAATTACCCTTCAAAATTTCATATCTTTTAGGAACTTATATAATACAATTCATATCATTAAGACTTAATCTTCTGAAACACTAATTGATAAAGATGAAGTTTTTAGATAACAAATAATGTCAGAGACCATTGGAAGTCCTCAGCAATTGTAAATCTGTGAGCTTACAATACAATTTGGCCAAGGCAAATTATAGTCATTCTGAAGAAATTCTTATGGAATAAAATGACCTTTTCTAGAACTGAAAGCCCTCTACATCAAGGTCCTTTGGTAAATGGGCCTAATGTGTTGCCCTCAACAGAGAGAACAGCAGAAATAATTTTATGACCATTTTAGATAATGCACAGTATTGTTTTGCCTCGATTTTTCTTATGTGCAGAAATGTTTACCACCAACACAAAAGTCCTGTTAAGAGATGTTTGTTAATGCTACAGCATCTTCACCAGCCCTATCATCTTCTGATTTAGACTGCTGCCTACAAATCATGGACTATTCGTGTAAGAATACATAGTAGATTAGATTCTAAACACAGGTGTACCCCATTTTATTGTGTTTCACTTTATTGCACTTTGCAGATTTTTTTTTCTTTTTTTTTTCTTACAAATGGAAGGTCTATAGTATCCTTGCATCAAACAAGTCTATCAGAGCCATTTTACCAATCATATGTATCTACTTTGTGTCTTTCTGTCACATTTTGGTAATTCTCACAATATTTCAAACTTTTACATTATTATTATATTGGTTTGGGTGACCTTTCGTCAGTGATCTTTGATATTTCTATTGTAATTATTTTGAGGCATCACAAACCACACCCATATAACACAGTGAACGCGTTGATAAAAGTTGTCTGGGTTTTGACTGCTCCACCGACCAGCTCATCCCCTGTCTCTTTCCCTCTCATCAAGCCCTCCTATTCCCTAAGACACAACAATATTGAAATGAGGCCAATAAATAGCCTTACAATGGCCTCTAAATATTCAAATAAAAGGAAGTCACATCTTTCTCACTTTGAATCAAAAGCTGGGAATGATTAAGTTTGGTGAGGATGCCTTGTTGAAAACCAAGATAGGCTGAAAGCTAGGCCTCTTGCACAGAACAGTTAACCAAAATGTAAATGCAAAGGAAAAGTTCTTGAAAACATTAAAAGTACTACTGCAGTGAACACATAAATGATAAGAAAGTGAAACAGCATTGTTGCTCATATGGAGAAAGTTTCAGTAGTCTGTAAAAAAAGAAGCAAACCAGTGCAACATTCTTTTAAGCCAAAGCCTAATCCAGAGCAAGGCCCAAACTCTCTCCAATTCTGTGAGGGCTGAGAGAGGTGGGGAACCTGCAGAAGACACGTTGGAAGCTGGCAGAGATTGGTTTATGAAGTTTAAGGCAAGAACTCATATCCGTAACATAAAAATGCAAGAGGAAGCAGCAAGGGCTAATGTAGAGCCTGCAGCAGATTATCCAGAAGTTCTAGCTAAGTTCATTGATGAAGATGGCTAATCTAATAGATTTTCAATGTAAAGAAAACAGCTTTCTATTGGTTTATGATTCTGTCTACATGGCTACCTTCATAACTACAGAATATGATGCCATCTACATGGCTACCTTCATAGCTACAGAATCAGTGTCTGGCTTCAAAGCTTCAAAAGACAGGCTGACTTTCCTGTTAGAGGCTGATGCAGCTGGTAACTTGAAGTTAAAGCCAAAGCTTGTTGACTATTCTGAAAATTTTAGGTTCCTTAAGAATTACATTATATCTACTCTGCCTGTGCCCAACAAATTGTACTACAAAGTTTGCATGACAGCACATCTGTTTACAGCATGGTTAACTGGATATTTTAAGCCCACTCTTAAGATCTACTGCTCAGGAAAAAATAAGGCTCCTTCAAAATATTACTGCTCATTGACAAGGCACCTGGTCACCCAAGAGCTCTCATGGAGATCTATACAGAGATTAAGGTTGTTTATGCCTGCTAACATAACATCCATTCTGCAGCTCATGGATCAAAGAGTAATTTTGACTTTTGAGTCTTATTACTTAAAAATACATTTTGTAAGGCTATAGCTGCCATAAATAGTGATTCTTTTCTTGGATGTGGGCAAAGCAAATTGAAAACCTTCTGGAAAGTATTCACCATTCTGGATGCCAGTAAGAACATTCTTGACTCATCGGAAGAAGTCAAAATACAAATATTAACCAGAGTTTGGAAGAAGTACATTCCAACCCTTTTGAATGACTTTGAGTGTTCAGGACTTCAATGGAGAAAGTAATTGCAGATGTGGTAGAAATAGCAAGAGAACTCTAGTTAGAGGTAAAGCCTGAAGATGTGACTGAATTCCTTCAATCTCCTAATAAAACTAAAGGATGAAAAATTTGCTTCTTACGGATGGCAAAGAAAGCAGTTTCTTGCATTGAAATCTACCTCTGGTGAAGATGCTGTGAACATTGTTGAAATTACAAAAACGATTTAAGATATTACATAAACTTAGTTAATAAAGCAGCGGTAGAGTTTGAGAGGATTGACCTCAATTTTGAAAGAAGTCTGACTGCGGATAAAAATGCGATCAAACAGCATCAGAAGCTACAGAGAAATATTTCCTGAAAGAAAGATTCAATTGGTGTGGCAAACTTCCTTACTGTTGTTTTTTTTTAATTGCCAAAGCCATCTGAACCTTTAGCACACCACCCGGATCAGTCAGCAGCCATCAACTTGACATAAGACCTTCCACCATCAATAAGACTTTCTGAAGCCTTAGAATAGCATTTTTAGGCAATAAAGTATTTTAAATAAAGGTATGTACAGTGTTATTTAAGACACAATGCTATTGCACAGTTAATAGACTATAGTATAATGTCAAAATCACTTTTATATGCACTGGGAAACCATGCAATGTTTGCTTTAGTATACTAGTCTGGAACTGAACCCACATTATATCTGTGCTATGCCTGTATATGTGTATATATGTATGTACAGACAAAGCACATATATACAGACTATATATATAAAGAGATGTGTGTATGTGTGTGTGCAATGGCATTGTGTCTAAAATAACACTGTACATGCCTTTATTTAAAATACTTTATTGCTTAAAAAATGCCAACAATTTTCTAAGCCTTCAGAAAGTCTTTTTGCTGGTGGAAGGTCTTGCCTCAAGTTGATGGCTGCTGACTGATCAGGATGGTGGTTGCTAAAGTTTGAGGTGGCTTTGGCAATTTATATACATATATAATATATATAAATTTATATAAAATATATAATTATGTATAATTAAAATTTAGTCTTTGAGATATACTATCCACATGTCAAGCATTCAATTGCCATATGTTGTTCATGGCTACAAAGAGATACAGAATTTATTTCATTGCAGAAAGTTCAATTTGACAGTGCTGAGCTCATCAAATAAAGGAAGAGGGGCAGAGAAAAAAGAGATAAGTTTTTAGGCTAGAGATTCATGAAACAGCATCCTTTTCACAGAGAATTGAAAACAGTTTTCATTAATAAAACATAAATTATAATGTCAAGTTTAAAAGGAGATATAATTGGATTTTTAGCCAAAGGCAAGATTCCTTTTATGTCACTCTAAATAACTTAGAATTTATAGTCTAGGCCAGGGCATATTTCTACAATAATGTTCCTGTAAGCAGGAATCCATGAAATATTAATTGGTGCTGAAAGAAAAGAAAAGATGAAGAGCAGGAAAAAGTTTAAAGACAAAACAAACATGAGAATGAATTTTCTCTAAATCTATTTTTTTGCAAGTTTGACGTTTGCCTGAATAGAATAACCCCACTCTTTACTCAACTAGTCATAAAACCCAGTCCAGAAAAAGAGCACTTGGAAATAATGAGTCCCTAAAGGGTTCTAAGCAGAAGAGTGAGCTGCTTATTGAGCCTCCCATTCATGGTAATTCATGTGGCAGCTGTGGTGGTGGAGGGGGTGGGGGGGATTTGTGAACACTGTATAGAGGCAAATATTTTTCATTGTTGTTTCATTAATCCATGGAGACATGAGAAAATGATCAGAGCAAGAATATTGTGCAGAAAGCAAGGAGCATGAATTTAAGAAAATGTTAGAAAATAAAATTGTACAATCTGACTGATAAGACATGCACGAGGAAAGGAGAAGAGTCTAACAGGACTTCCATTTTTGGCACAGGAGGACGGCCACGCAATTTTCTGAAATACAGCATTATAGAAACATCAGCAAATGTTACGGGAAAATACAGCCATTTATTTTGAAAATAAAATTATTTTCAAACACTTGTATATATCCTGGTAGAGCTAGGTAGTCAGACTCACTTCCTTCCACTTTTTTTCTATCCCAAACTGATGCAGAGATTAGTTTTTCCCTCGAGTCTTTTTTTCTTATTACTACATTATCACTACTTAAGACACTAATGGGCGTGTGTTAGATAAGAATGAAAATTGGGAGCAATAGAAGTGCTTTGCGTCAAAGCATTGCAACATACTTAAAATGTCTGACCTTTTTTTATTTTTTTGCTTATCTGCTGAACAACAGTCTCGTATTAGTTGTTCTTTTAGGGCCAGCTGCATTGACTGATAAACCTCTTCTATTTCACTTTATTCTCCTAATTCCCAAAATCATGTTAATTGATTATGTAGCATAGTTAAACTTTCTTTGGTTCTATCTTTTTCCAAGCATAGCAGGACTTTACATGTTGTTTGTAAAATGATTTCATCTAGGTAGATTTTTAACTACAGATAATTCCCTTCCAATTAGTAAAGAAGGCATTTTTTCCTGTCTCTAACAATCGTTTTAAAATTTCTGAGATGTTTTGTTTAGTTTTAGAGTTGGCATTTTGTCCCTTTCTGACTCTGTACTATATCTAAATATCAAACCTATTTAGATTTACAAGAGATATTTTCAGGTCAATTCTGACATGTCAGTTTATCACGCATACAAAATACCAAGTCCGCCACTATCAAGTGGACCCTCGGTGACAGCTGCACAAAAACTTCCAGAACTAATCATCTGGCATCATTCTGTTTGGTACTATAGCCCACAGATTTAATAGCTATAATTAAGTTTGTTTCCTTAGGAGAATAGAATTGCAGACACTTATTTTGTCCATTATGATCCAACTGATTATGCTTCCTCAAGTTTGAATTTGTTTGGATATAATAGGAGTTTTCTCAGCTGGTGAATTTGTGTGTGTGTGTGATAAATTAGTAATTATATACACTATTTCGACTCCTGCAAACAATGAATATTGGACCACTTGATTTATTTGTTGCTATGATCATCCCACTTATGTTTGCTGGTATTTTAAGTCATTTGTTTTCCCAATGAGGTTTAAATTTTTCCTTTTAACACCAGTTTATTGAAAGTGAATTGCTTCTTTTATTTGCGCATGTTAGTTGGGTGGCAATTGAATGTATACAAATATACTTTTATAAAGTCTGGATTGCCCTATGCTTATAAAGTAGTAATTTAAACTTCGTATAGTGACAATACATACTCATGATTCTTGACACATTTTTTCATTTTAAAATAAAGTAATTTTGCTTCAGTTTGTCTAAGTGTGAAGATGCAGAAATGTCTCGAGACAATGTAGCTTTTTTCTCTCATTTATAATTCCTGTCCACATGAGATGCTTATTCTAACAATCAAGAGATATACCAGTTCGGAGAACACATTCAAAATTTTGTATGTACACATGTATGTGAATGACTCTATGTTTGTGTATGCATAAGCTACAACCCGTTGAAGACAAAAGAAAGTGTTGAGTCAATTTGCTGCAGTGGACTCAGATAAAAAGCAAACAAAAGTTAAATTATGAATTCATTTCCATCATAGTAATTCCACAAGAGAGAAAATTATTCTTTCTGACTGAAAATTAAATATGTTTTCTAGTCTGGATGGAAGAAATAATTGTTATTTTGTTTCCATAATCCCCTTTCCTTGCTTCCTAAAAATATTATAACTGGCTACTGCCTTGTTTACCTCCCCTACTAGATATGTAGGTACAAGGAGGCATAAAATCAACTTCATTTAGCAGCATGTCAAACTCTAGGCACACATATAATTGCCACTAAATAAGTCTTTGAGAAATGTGTGTCCACCTCATAGACAGATTTTAAAAGATACTGAAGATCCAATCAGGTTTATGTTGTCATTTTGATGACTGAGTAACATTTGGTGACATGACCTTAAACTCCTTAATATTGAGGTATATTAAAAACAGGCACATCAACCAAATTCAATATTATGTGTCACTTGTGTTGAATGTTTTAAAAAATATATTATGGGTCTTATATAAACATTCAAGTCAATATAAGGATTTATTTTCTTTTTTGGCTGTGGTCTAGTGGTAAAATTGCAGCTTATATCAAAAAGTTCAGTTTGTATCCTGCAGCTAATGTAACATCTCTTTAGTTAGATTGGCTGGCAAACTGTATTTGTGTTTCACATCTTAAAATACATTGTTTTGGGACTCAGATTTGTAAATAAACTTTCGATTTTCTAGAAAACTTTCAGAGAATTCAAGAGAACTAGTTATCAGTACCATTCAGTTCATTCTCGTGGTGGTTGACATGGGGAGAAAAAATAGAATACTGTGAAAAGAAAACTTTGTTTTTTCCCTCAAAGTCTGTTCTCTTCAGTTGATCTAGGATAGCCAGTAGGCACATCTGCAAAGCAGAAGAATAAAAAGACAATTCATCTTGAAACCTATCTTCATTTTACATACATTGAAATACTTTGCTTTCTGAGGTGTGTGTGTGTGTTTTGTTTTTGTTTTTTTGTTTTTTGTTTTTGTTTTTTTTAAGACAGAGTCTCGCTCTGTCGCACAGGCTGGAGTGCAACGGTGAGATCTCGGCTCACTGCAGCCTCCACCCCCCAGGTTCAACCGATTCTCCTGCCTCAGCCTCCGGAGTAGCTGGGATTACAGGTATAGGCCACTACGCCTGGCTAATTTTGTATTTTATTAGAGACGGGGTTTCTCCATGTTGGTCAGGCTGGTCTTGAACTCCCGACCTCAGGTGATCTGCCAGAGTCGGCCTCCCGAAGTGCTGGGATTACAGATGTGAGCCACCGCACCCCGGCCTGTTTTTTCTTTTCTTCTCTTTTTTTTTTTTTTTTTTTTTTTTGAGATGGAGTCTCACTCTGTTGCCCAGGCTGGAGTGCAATGGCATGATTTCGGCTCACTGCAACCCCCACCTCCAGAGTTCAAGCGATTCTCCTGCCTCAGCCTCCCGAGTAGCTGGGACTTCAGGCTGCCCACCACACCCGGCTAATTTTTTTTTGTATTTTTAGTAGAGATGGGGTTTCTCCATGTTGGTCAGGCTGATCTCGAAATCCCGACCTCAGGTGACCTGCCCACCTTGGCCTCCCAAAGTGCTGGGATTACAGGCATGAGGCTTTCTGAGTTTTATAGACCACAAACTTATTCCTTACTTTGGTTCCCACTCTCTATTGATCTTTTTGGATGAATGATTTTGTTGTAAATTATACACTGGCTTTGAACTTTATTCCTCCTCTTGTTACCTCCTCAATGCTGGTGGGAGCTATTTGTTGAATATTCTACACTGGTCAAACTCAAGTTTCCCCCACCTCCAACCCCAACTCTACCTATGCCATTCTTCCCTGGAATCCTACCTAATGGTAAAACTGGATAATAAATTGATATTTGATTAATACTTATTCATTACTGACAACAGTATAATAACCTCTGGATTTTTAAACGATTTTTTTCTGATCTAATTTAGTGTTCATAGTCTTTATTTTTCCTTTGGGTTCCTTAGCAATTTTTTTTTTTTTTTTTTTTTTTTTTTTTGAGAGAGAGTCTCGCTTTGTTGCCCAGGCTGGAGTGCAGTGGCGCGATCTCAGCTCACTGCAAGCTCAACCTCCCGGGTTCACGCCATTCTCCTCCCTCAGCCTCCCGAGTAGCTGGGACTACAGGTGCCTACCACCACGCCCGGCTAATTTTTTGTATTTTTAGTAGAGACGGGGTTTCACCGTGTTAGCCAAGATGGTCTCGATCTACTGACCTCGTGATTCGCCCGCCTCGGCCTCCCAAAGTGCTGGGATTACAGGCGTGAGCCACCGCACCCAGCCTCCTTAGCAATTTTTAAAATTTATTTTCCTTTGCTATGTTATATTTGGCTGCTATTGGTTGTTTAAAATACCTTTTGGAGGTAAACGTAGTATAAATTGAGAATAAAATATATATCATAGATTTAATTCATTCTCCCTATCTTTATTGATCATATCTTATTTCTAAAATGTAGTATTAGGTGTTTTGAAAAACACTGAGATGAATAAATCATGGATTGTTTCAAAAAGCATATATACCAGTTATAGTGATAGAAAACTGATGTAAATAATAACAACATAAGGTAGAAGGTACATTGAGACGTATTTAAGGAACTCCCAAAAAGTAAAGGTTACTTCAGATTTGATGAATTTTGAAAGTCATCTTCAGCCAATTTGAACTTAGGCTGGGCTTTTAAAACCAGGCAACTGTGTACAATTATAATCTCATGAAGGAAGGAACATGGGAGGCTTTCACACCAAATGGATATTGTTCAAGTTGAGCTAAACTTCAGGATATATATTAGTGCAAAGGGTAGAAGTATAAGTCACAGTCAGGTTATATAATACCTGTTACAGGAAAATTGCCCATTATTATTTGGCAATGAGTATCAAATACATTTTAATAAGTATATTGACATGGATGTTTTTCTTTTTTTTATTATTATTATACTTTAAGTTTTAGGGTACATGTGCACATTGTGCAGGTTAGTTATATATGTATACATGTGCCATGCTGGTGCGCTGCACCCACTAACTCGTCATCTAGCATTAGGTATATCTCCCAATGCTATCCCTCCCCCCTCCCCCCACCCCACAACAGTCCCCAGAGTGTGATGTTCCCCTTCCTGTGTCCATGTGATCTCATTGTTCAATTCCCACCTATGAGTGAGAATATGTGGTGTTTGGTTTTTTGTTCTTGCGATAGTTTACTGAGAATGATGGTTTCCAATTTCATCCATGTCCCTACAAAGGACATGAACTCATCATTTTTTATGGCTGCATATGTGCCACATTTTCTTAATCCAGTCTATCATTGTTGGACATTTGGGTTGGTTCCAAGTCTTTGCTATTGTGAATAATGCCACAATAAACATACGTGTGCATGTGTCTTTATAGCAACATGATTTATAATCCTTTGGGTATATACCCAGTAATGGGATGGCTGGGTCAAATGGCATTTCTAGTTCTAGATCCCTGAGGAACCGCCACACTGACTTCCACAATAGCTGAACTAGTTTACAGTCCCACCAACAGTGTAAAAGTGTTCCTATTTCTCCACATCCTCTCCAGCACCTGTTGTTTCCTGACTTTTTAATGTTTGCCATTCTACCTTGTGTGAGATGGTATCTCATTGTGGTTTTGATTTGCATTTCTCTGATGGCCAGTGATGGTGAGCATTTTTTCATGTGTTTTTTGGCTGCATAAATGTCTTCTTTTGAGAAGTGTCTGGCCAGGGCAATTAGGCAGGAGAAGGAAAGAAAGGGTATTCAATTAGGAAAAGAGGAAGTCAAATTGTCCCTGTTTGCAGACAACATGATTGTATATCTAGAAAACCCCATTGTCTCAGCCCAAAATCTTTTTAAGCTGATAAGCAACTTCAGCAAAGTCTCAGGATACAAAATCAATGTACAAAAATCACAAGCATTCTTATACACCAACAACAGACAAACAGAGAGCCAAATCATGAGTGAACTCCCATTCACAATTGCTTCAAAGAGAATAAAATACCGAGGAATCCAACTTACAAGGGATGTGAAGGACCTCTTCAAGGAGAACTACAATCCACTGCTCAAGGAAATAAAAGAGGATACAAACAGATGGAAGAACATTCCATGCTCATGGGTAGGAAGAATCAATATCGTGAAAATGGCCATACTGCCCAAGGTAATTTACAGATTCAATGCTATCCCCATCAAGCTACCAATGACTTTCTTCACAGAATTGGAAAAAACTACTTTAAAGTTCATATGGAACCAAAAAAGAGCCCACATCGCCAAGTCAATCCTAAGCCAAAAGAACAAAGCTGGAGGCATGACACTGCCTGACTTCAAACTATACTACAAGGCTACAGTAACCAAAACAGCATGGTACTGGTACCAAAACAGAGATATAGATCAATGGAACAGAACAGAGCCCTCAGAAATAACGCCACATATCTACAACTATCTGATCTTTGACAAACCTGAGAAAAACAAGCAATGGGGAAAGGATTCCCTATTTAATAAATGGTGCTGTGAAAACTGGTTAGCCATATGTAGAAAGCTGCAACTGGATCCCTTCCTTACACCTTATACAAAAATCAATTCAAGATGGATTAAAGACTTAAACGTTAGACCTAAAACCATAAAAACCCTAGAAGAAAACCTAGGCATTACCATTCAGGACATAGGCACGGGCAAGGACTTCATGTCTAAAACACCAAAAGCAATGGCAACAAAAGCCAAAATTGACAAATGGGATCTAATTAAACTAAAGAGCTTCTGCACAGCAAAAGAAACTACCATCAGAGTGAACAGGCAACCTACAAAATGGGAGAAAATTTTCCCAAGCTACTCATCTGACAAAGGGCTAATATCCAGAATCTACAATGAACTCAAACAAATTTACAAGAAAAAAACAAACAACCCCATCAAAAAGTGGGCAAAGGACATGGATGTTTTTCTTAAAGCAGCATATGACGGCATGCAACAGTTCTGACAGGAGCTAGAAAATAATGAGATTGGATCTAAGGGAGTGGATGTAGCAGGTCTTGCAAGCAACCAGCCCAGCAGCAATGAAATCATGCTAATTGAGAGAAGCGCAGGCAGAAGCCGATACCTGGGGGCTACACCTATGAAGAATGTACAAAAGCACCACAACAAATGATCTAGTCTTCTGCAAAATAAGAACAGCATGTAAACAGTTTGGTAGAGTGAACCGAATCAAACAAAAGGAAAATACTGTTTGTTTGTTTTTTTGCCACATCCTTGTTTTAGATTACCCTCCTCTATGCTTCTATAAGAATATCTGTTTTTCTTATTGTAAAATTTATTTTCCTTTATTGCAAGCATCTGTTTATTTCTTGAGACAAATATATACAGATCCTAATTTCTGGACCCTGTGCATGTTACTTTACATGGTGCTATGATTTAAATGTTTGTCCCCTCCAAAATTAATGTTGAAATTTATTTGCCACTTCAATGGTATTAAGAGGTAAGACATTTAAGAAGTGATTAGGACATAAAGGCCCTGCCTTCATAGCTGGGATCAAAACATCATAAAAGAGCGAGTTGGGTTCCTTCTTGCTCTCTCACCCTTTGCCTTGTGCCATGTGATGATACAGAAAGAAAATCATCATTAGAAACCAGAACTTGATATTTCCAGACTCCAGAACAGTGAGCCAATAAATTTTTGCACATTATGATTTACCCAGTCTGTGGTGTACTGTTACAGCAGCTCAAACGTACTGAGATATATGGCAAAGAAGACTTTGCTGATGTCATTAAATCAACACTCTTGCAATGGAGAGATAATCTTGAATTACATACATAGCCTTGATATAATCATAATAACCGTTGCAGGTAGAACAGAGGACTGAGAGTCAGCAGAGAGGGTGATAGGAAACAGAGACTGGAATAATACATTTTAAAGATGGAAGAAGGAGCCACAAGCCAAGAAATACAGGTAGCTACTGTTACCTGAAAAAGGCGAGGAAATGGATTCTCCTCTCAGAGCCTCCAGGAAGAGCCAGTCCATCTGACATTTTACTTTAACCCAGTAAAACTAATTTTGGACTTCTGACTTCCATAACTTAAGATAATAAATTCATGTTATTTTAAGCCACTTAGTGTGTGGTAACTTTTCACAACAGCAATTGGAAATTAACATCCCTCTTTAACTTTCCACGTCCTTCACTATACTATAAGCTTTGTGCAAAGTAGAATAAAGGTAATTTCTATCTCATTCATTTTTTAAGTTTTAAATCACAATATCTGCAGAGAATGGCAAAATGCTTGGTACATGGTATGTATTCAATACTCAATGCATCTTTCATTAATTAAATGACCACCTTTCTTAAGAATAAAGAGACAGTTAAAATTCAGAACATTGAATTCAACAATGAGCTTCTTTTAGACATAACTCAGCTAAAAGATATTAGGTGTATGGTAATCTGAATTGTAGAAATGTTAAAAAATGAATACTGGTATTCACAGAACAACAAGCTAAATATTTTTATTTCAGTAGAAAAAATAAAAATTTCACTAGTTGAAATTTTATAAACATATTAAGTTGATAGATACATTGAAACTCTTACTATCCTCACAACTGGGAATATTTTAGCAGATTATACAAATTTTGAAGGAACTAAAATTTCTCCTTAAAAGAGAGGATAATAAACAGGTGAAACTCATTATTCTAGATATAATGAGTTTATATCTAGATATAATGAGTTTTTATATATTTATATTTCATTTTCTGTGTAAATTTGGATATGTCAATGATATCCACATACAATTTGGGATGATTAATTTATAATAAGGCAAATAAGACACGGACAAATGTATCTCTAAACAATGAGGTTGGTCTTGGAAGGTTATTAAATAATATCAAAAAGATCCACTGATGTCACCTTCAGAAGGAAATGGAGATAGATGGGTCACTGTCCATTTGTTTTGCTCCTTTGCAACATTCAGTTGAGGCCTCAGACATGGAACAAGAATAGAATCCACACACAGCACTGCTGTTCTGCATGCATAATGTGATTTATAAAACTTTCTTCAGGTAACAGAGAAAGGGCCCAGCACAAGGTAATTACAAGCAGGATCATCTAAAGAATTTACAAAGACAGGAAGTCTGCAACTGAGAATGCATAGGCCCATCAATAACACAAATAGCACCATGTGAGAGAACGATGTACAAATTATGAGGCAGAATGAACTTACTTAACAGCACCTGGGAACTTATCCAGGAATATTTTACGTTTTCTCTGAAAGAACATTAATGTGCATACAAAATAGGGCAATTTTCATGACAAAGTCCTAAATATAGAGAACATTCAAATGTCACCAAATTATGCCTCCTCTAAAGCTGAAATATAAAATACCCTTTCAGTTTTTTGACTAACAAAGTGTATATGATCTCTTTCTTGTTTCTTTGATTGATTCTTAATCATAAAGGCACCCATTTTAAGATATTATGAAAAATGATGGTGAATGTATTATAGCAGGAGTAATATTGTATTTATTTAATTATACAGTTACTAAATGTGTTCAGTATTAAAAAGAATGCCACCAACATCAAAGGCTGAAAAATTACTTTCCATCCAATATTTGAATACCAATATATGAATTAAATTTTAAAAATATTGCATAAATTTACAAACAAGCACTTTTATTTCTTTTTACATCATATTTAAAGTATATTTGCTTTTACATGCATACATTTTGATGTATTTTTACTAATTAATTACTATGCTTTCAAAAAAGTATTTGCTTTAAGACTTTTAGAAATGTTTATCTTTTCAGAAATATATTTAAAATGTCTTTTATGTAGGTAGGACTCAAGAAGCTAAAGGAGCTGCATGCAGTCCAGGTTGTATACACAAAAAATGAAGCAAAAAGTCCACTTAACATGAATGGGTTCCATAGATTTCTATGTATCTATTAGTTCTATAACTTGTAGCCATGTTTGTAAACCATCATATGGCAACTACCTTAGACCACATTAGAAATATTTAGGACTTATGAGTTGAAGATGAGGAATAAAAAAATCCAGAGAAGTCTAGAGCTATGAAAGTTATGCAAAGAAAAATAAATGTATAAAAAGTGGCAAATAACTGTGCCCATAGTGATCTATGCCTATATAAAAATATTTTCCAACATATGGAAAATATACGTCTAATATGTTGGCTTGTTGACTACTGCCATTTAGAAATTTATATTTATGCTATAATAAAGTAAAATTGATTTTATTCATAAAATATTTAAAAATCAGGTTTTCTATGAATAGTGTCCCTGAATTTAAAATTGTCTTCTCCATACACTTATATTTCCCAAGTCTTCATATCTCCTGCTGAGACTCCATTTCTGAGTCTAAATCTGAATTCCTATGTCGTTAATAATCTACATGTCCAAAGGAGACTGGATAATTGTATTCTTTTTTTTTTTTTTTTTTTCTTTTCTTTGAGACGGCTGGAGTGCAGTGGCGCGATCTCGGCTCACTGCACCCTCACCCTTCTGGATTCACGCCATTCTCCTGCCTCAGCCTCCTGAGTAGCCGGGACTACAGGCACCCGCCACCACGCCCCGCTATTTTTTTTTTTTGTATTTTTAGTAGAGACGGGGTTTCACCGTGTTAGCCAGGATGGTCTTGATCTACTGACCTTGTGATTCACCGGCCTTTGCTTCCCAAAGTGCTGGGATTACAGGCGTGAGCGACTGCGCCCGGCCCGTATTCTTAAAATCTGCTCTTTTTCTTCCATTTTCTGTGTCATTAAATGGCACAAAAGCCAAGGAATTACAATAGACTCTTCTGCTGCTCTTTTTCTGCCACATCCAATGAGTCATTTCATTTTTATAAAATTATCTCAATGTTACCTTCTTCTCTCTGTCTTCGGATCATTGTCTTAGGTCACAGCAGTCTTGCTTCCCACTTGCATTTTAGATCTAGCATGGAATGGACTTCCATCTCTAGGCTTATCCTGACCCAGTAACTCCTTTCAATCTACTGCCAGTGATTTTGAACCTACAGTTATGACCATGTCAGTCACCTGCTTAATAACCTTCAAGGGCTTTCAACCACCTTCGAAATAAATAAAGTTTGTGTAGGAAGAAGATGTTAAATCAAAACATTTGTGTTTCAGGTAATTCCTAGTTCCTAACTGATTTAAGGCTTTTTAACTCATCAGATAAAAGGTATGCCTCATGGGGATGGCTGAATTTGATTGATTATGAGGAAGTTAATGCTTCTCTGTGAACATCAAAATAGTGTCGGGGTTGAGTATTAAAAGTACAGGTGAGAAAATAGGTTCCAACAAATGATCTTGATGTTTTACGATTCTTTGGTAAAGACATTTCTCACCCAAAATGGAATTTTCACGTTAAGATCCAAGCCTAATTGTCTAAGATCATTGAGAGTTTTGTTGTTGGTTTTGTTGTTTGTTTTGCTTTGTTTTGTTTGCTGTTTTAGTCTATAAAGCAGCTGGAAAGGCTTTAGAGAGTGTTTTGCTGAAAAATAAAAGGTAAATGCTTATCTATTTTTTTTTTTTGTTACAGAAAGAAGATGGAAGAAGAAGGAAAGAAAAGGCATAATGTAAATATAAACGCTGTCTTTATTTCTGGATCTAGCAAAGAGTTAGTTTGAAAGAGCAATTGCTTATAAGACTACAAGGCTGATTTCTCCCATCCCTGCAATGCTGAAAGTCTGTGCCCTTCTAAGCAAATTCTAGTTTCCCTGACAATTAGTCTAATGGAATGCCTGGATGTAGGAATATTGATTCCGATGACAGTACTTTTACAGATGGACCTGAGATATTTCTGCTGGTTCTTCACTGACAACACACAACATATGGATGATCATAACTTTCCCATATACCCCACTAGGGCAAAACCAGAAACTGAGAAAGCTAGATGGAAGAATAATGATGTGGAAGGGGAGTTCTCCACTAGGAAGGATCCGATGAGTAGATAGACACAAGGACAAAGAGGGCCTAACTTTGGGCTGTGGAAGCGGAGTTGCACTCATAGGAGCCATAGTGAGTCATTGCATCAGAACCACTAAGCATCAGTCATGAAGAGCAAACGGGCTTGCTGTTACAGGAGCTAAACCCTGAACCCTTCCATCGTGGTTACAGAGAGCTTCTGGGGGACAGCATGAGACAGCTTAGCACTTCCCCAATATTATGAGGAAACCCAAAGGCCCAGATGCCACTTGGGAAAGGAGAACCAAGAAGGAAGGACTTCAGAAAAGGAAGAAACCATGAAACATTAAGTAATTTACAAACTAGACTCTTCTTTATTCTCTTATTTTATTTATTTCTTTATTTTTGAGACAGAGTCTCACTTTTTGCCCTTGATGAAATGGACTGGCCCAATCATGGCTCACTGCAGCCTCAAAATCCTGGCCTCAAGAAATCCTCCAGACTCAGCCTCCTAAAGTGCTGGGATTACAGGCATGAGCCACAGCACCTGACCTAGACTGTTTTAAACTAGATTTCCCTGAGAAAACTTTCACTGGAAAAATCAAAATTATCCTGCTGTCATTAAGAGAAAACTATCTGTTGTAGAAAATTACATTCTTTTTTTTTTCAGACATGTCATATAAATATTTGGACCCCTCTCTGAGAACAAACTACTTAAAAGTCATTTCAATCATTAACGAATATCATAATTGAGGGCCTGTGCTGGGTGCCAGAAATCTACCAGTGAGCAAAACAGCACGGATCTTTGTCCACAGTAAATTTACAGATCAGAGGAAACAGAAAAACAATCAGTTAAATAAAACAGGTCTGAAAATTGCGTATGAGAACCCAAAGCAGAGGTACCTAATCAGGTCAAAAAAAAAAAAAAAATGGAGCAAATTGTGCCTAATAACTTGGTATTTTTCTGCATCCATTTGATGTTCTAGCTACATTTCTTCACATGTCCCATTACTAAGGTCGACACTTTCATGCAGTTGCATATGTTGTTCCCAGTATTACTTTCCTGTTGCTGCCCTAACAAATTGTCACACTTTTGCAGCTTAAAACAACACAAGTAGATTATGTTACAATTCTGGAAGAGAGAAGTTCTAAAATCAAGGTTTTCACAGGGCCAGATTCTTCTGGAGGCTGCAGGAGAAAACCTGTTTCCTTGCCTTTTTCTGCTTCTAGAGGCTTCCTGCATTCTTGCCCTTGTAAGCCTTCCTTCCTCCCAGCAGTCCAGCCTCTGCTTTTGTCATCATATCTTTTTCTCTCTGACTTGAGCTTCTTGCCTCCCTCTTACATAAACCCTAGTGTCTACACCGCACCCACCAGGATACTTCAGGATAATCCTCCCATCTCACGACCTTTACCTTAATTATCTCTGCAAAGCCCCTTTCGGCATGCAAGGTTAACATATTAACAGGTTTCAGGGATGAGGCCATGCCCATTTGTGGGTGGGGGTGGTTGTAGGAAAAGCATCATGCAACCTACCACTCTTTGTTCACAGGAATTTCCATCTGGATCTTTTTAGAATTAATCATTATCATTTACTAAAGTGTGGAGGATGATAGAAGAAAAAAACGAAGGCAGTTAAGGAAAGAGCAAAGAAAGGCAAATGGGAAGGAAGGAATGAAGGAAGAAAGTCAACCTTAGATCATCATAGTAAAAAAAAGTAGTACTGATTACTGATGAATCGTTTAAAGTAAAAACTGCAGGATAGCTATTGCTATACCTATTTTGAAAGTGAGATTTCAAATGACCTCTCCAATTTGCATTCACTTATATGTCCAAAGGTATGACCATCAATCTATCTTAATGTCAGCAAAAGAACTTCACATTCACTTTTGAAGTGATTTGAAATGGCTTTAAAATCATTCAAAAATAGTCATATGTCAACCTTAACAACATGTCTGCAGCACACTTTTACTTCTCTGGCTCAAAAACTGTGCTGTTACCAGGTGGATCTCAGAGAATGAGATATATAGGATGTTCCATAGAGTATTCTTAGCTCTACAACATCTTCCCTCAATTTATCCTACTAAGTTCAAATTACTGACCTTCAGGGTATGGAAATAGATCTACTATTTTAGCATTTTACGCATTGTCTAATACGTAAAACCCATCAGCTAACATAAAAGAAGTTTCTTGTTAAACTAAGATATAATGTCTGATTATCGTATATTATCCAAAATATGATTCATACTAAATATGAAATTATCTATATCTATATATTTTGACAACATAAAAGCTATAGAATGTCTCTAGCACTAGATAGGAGAACAATACCTTCTTGTTATATATAATATTTGTTCAATATATTTTTCTTTTAAAAAATTTATGTCATGTAGGCCCTCCACCAGTGGTGATATGTGTACAATTTTCTTCTAACATACAGTATTTATAAAAGTTGTTAAGTTGTTTATTACTGAGATGTTTTGTACCTCTGATATAGATAGATAGATAGATTTATAGATAGGAGATAGATAGATAAATTATAGATAGATGATAGATAGATGGATAGATGATAGATAGATGATAGATGATAGATAGGTAGATACATAGATACATATATAGATGATAGATACATATATGATAGATAGATGATAGATAGATAGATAGATAGATAGATAGATAGATAGATAGATAGATAATCTTTTAGTGCCCCATAGAAGTAGCTCTTCATTATTGAAGGATAATCCACTAAATATGTTAAGGCGATTCATCTTAAAAGTATCTGTGCTCTCATTTGCTGTGTAGCAAACCTCCCACATGGAATAATTTGTCTTCATGCTCTTCTCTTCAAAGTCACAGCAATATTTCAAATTACCTTTAAAGCAGTATTTCCTGAGAAATAATTGCATTTTTCTTTATTGCCATATGGTTCTCTAGATATTTTTGCTTGTCACCAAGGGAAGGAGATCAAGTGGCTCCCCAGTGATAGGTGATGTTACCTTGGATGCAGACAGCATCCCTAACCAGATACTGAACCTGTTGGCACCTTGATCTTAAACTTCTCAGCCTCTGGAATTGTCAGAAAAAAATTTCTGTCTTTCAGGAATTACCCAGTATCAAGCATATTCTTACAGCAGCACAAACTAAGACAGGGAGGCTTTTGCTATCTCTCCTCTGAATTGTCACAATTATCTTCGAAATGGTCTTTCTACTTTCACTTTCATGGCTTTCCAATAATTCTCAATACAAATGCATGATTACATAAACATTTGCTCAAGAACCTGTATAAAAAGACTGGTGGATAGTGACTAGATCCTCAGGATATGCAGGGCTCAAGAGAAATGAAATATCTTGGGGATATGGTTACTTAAGACGTGATACTGTCACAGTGAATTTCACAGAAGATGGTGCTGCCCTAACTGAGGTTCAATCCATGTATAAGCCAGACCAATCTGAAGACAAATAAAGTATTTCACAGCCACAATTTCTGTTGTCATATTTATTTTGCTTGCATACTTACAAATCTACAAAAAAGAAACTGGTACAATGGTAGGAAATTGTTGCAAAACCATCTCCACCACTGGAAAAGCCATAAAACGGGTATCTTTTTCAAAGCAAATCAGTTATATTATCTCTTTGGGTTAAAGCTAAAATATTATACTTGAGTTATGTAAGTGTTATCTCTAACAAGTATCTACCAACAGGGCAGTGCCAAGGTATTAACCAAATACATTTGTAAAGAATCAATAACAAAGAACAAACACACCGGAATAGCTGAATGGAATGAAGTGGTTCTTTTTTTCTTTTTAAATTGTAAACCTCTAGGTGGTTAGCATTAAGGTAGAGAGTACCCTGAAGTAATACAAATGTTGCTGGTTTAATTTTTTTCAGCAGTAGGGAATTTTCAAAATATTGAAGGGTTATGAAGTGTGACTTGTGAAAAGGTTTTAGCAATCTTGAAGCAAATATTGCTTAAAAATATTGGGTTACGATCATAATGAATTCAATATCAGTTTAGAACCAAAATGTTTCTCCATAAAGATGGCAATGGTATGTGTCAATTAGAAATAAAACAAAAGCAGTTGCTTTCTATGTGATGAATTCAAGAGCTAATAGTTAAAAATAATTCAAATAGTTTCACCAAATAGATGAAAATACCAAATGTATAACATTAAATTATGTTAGGTATGATTGATTAGGAAACTCAGTAAGGTTGGAATGACTTGATTATCTATGAAATATATTTATGTATACATGGAAATAAAATACTTACATTTGTATTATTTTATCTTCATCCATCTATTGATCTGTCGATCTATTTATCTAGTTACCTAATCTTTTATGTGAAATTTATTAGGAAAATTTGAATACCGTCTGTCTTCATTGTGGCCCATGAGGTCCTTGAACCCAGAAACCATGTTTCATTTGGTGCTGTATTCTCAGTTTACGCATATGATTGATAGGAACTCCACAAAGATTTGTTAGATTAATTATTGGCCATTTCATTAATATTATATGAGAATAGATACAGTTAAACTTCTTTGAAATTAGATATGAGAGTTAGAAATGTTTAGTTAATGTGTGAGCTTGTTCCCAATTAAACAGGTATATATAAGTCTTGGGTAAACTATACCTATTGTGCATTCCCAGTGTGAATCCACTATGGCTACCCATTCTTTTGTTGTTGTTGTTGGTTTGTTTTTTTGAGTTGTTGTTTGTTTTTTTGAGACTCCAGGCTGGAGTGCAGTGTTATGATCTCTGCTCACAGCTGCAACTTCCGCCTCCCAGGCTCAAGCAATTCTCCTGCCTCAGCCTCCCAGGTAGCTGGGATTACAGGTGCCCACCACCAGACCTGGCTAATTTTTGTATTTTTAGTAGAGATGGGGTTTCACCATGTTGGCCAGGCTGGTCTTGAACTCCTGACCTGAAGTGATCTGCCTGCCTCAGCCACCCAAAATGCTGGGATTACAGGTGTGAGCCACCGTGCCTGGCATCGTATGGCATTCTTGTGTTGCATTTTATCCATGTTGCCTTGTTAAAAATCAAAAGCATTTTGACATCAACACAATGTCATTAACTTGACATCTAAGCAAACTGGGCTCATATCCTAGCTCACCCTTTTATAAATTCAATGACCTTATGAAAGTCTCTTGACATATTTGAGCCTCAATTTTTCTTACTTGTTATATGTGGACAAAGATTGCTGTGAAGAGTAAATGTGACATGTAA
This sequence comes from Homo sapiens, assembly GCF_000001405.40. Classification (NCBI taxonomy): domain Eukaryota; kingdom Metazoa; phylum Chordata; class Mammalia; order Primates; family Hominidae; genus Homo; species Homo sapiens. The sequence continues at coordinate 21,591,118 of NC_000005.10, forward strand.
ATATCCCATACATAATAGGATCACAATAAGTTTAAGTTTATTTTTAATCGCTAGCAAAGCATACATACGATATATATAACATCATTTAATTTAACATATATTTTGCCATATTTATATAAGCTTTTTAATGAAACATGAATTAGAATATGTTTGATTTAAAAAATTTACCTTGATTAAATATGTGTTTGGTTCCCAGGTTTCTGCCAGATATCTTTCAACTAAAAATCATGTTATTTATACATTTCTCCATGTAAACAAGATACGTTTGTTAAATAACCTACCACATGCCAAACACTACATGACATGAGATGCAATCACTATACTCTTATTTTTAAAATTAGTTACAATTAATAGATGCGTAACATCTAAATAGGCAAATATTCACAGGAATTTTCAGACATGTTAAGAATCTTGCCAAAGGTAACAATATAGAACATATATACACAGATTGAGTTTAAAAAAAAAAAAGGAAAACGTGTGTGTGCACATCTCATTATTTATTCTATAATCAAATGATTGATGTAATGCTGAATAACTTTTAAAGTATGTCTAATCATGCTGGTTAGCATATTATACATACCTTCATATGTTCACCCTAAATAGCTCTCCAGTAAAGTGCTAACTAAATGTATTATATTCCCTCCACTGAAATCATCAAGGGGGACAAATGTGATGAAAATATGTCTGGGAAGGCTTTTTAGTATTGTAAATAAAATGTACAGGATTTTCGAGACTGCCTTTATAAAAATAGCAAAACCCTAAATCAAGTGATAGAAAAATTGCAGGTTAAACAATGTAAGACTTCATGTTTTTTGCATTACCTGTCAATGTCTTTCCCTCTACCCATAATCTTTGATTGCTCAGAAATGATACCAACATTTACTACAAAAAGGCAAATGGAAAAATGTAGAATGTGATATTTTGATTTATAATAACTTTGGTGTTATTTTCACTTCCTAACACACAGCCCCTAATGCTAATGAGTTGGCTCCTGACTGGAAGCTCCTGGATAGCCTTAGGATGGGGGCTGGTTGTCAAGGGAACCACCTGTGTAATTAGAGGACTGGAAGTGTCACCCTCCTTCCCCTCACCTCTGGGGAGGAAAGAAGGGATGAAGGTTGAGTTCATCGCAATGACCAATGATTTAGTCAATCATGTTGACCTAATGAAGCCTCCATAAAAACTAAGAAGCATAGAATTTGGAGAGCTTCCGGGTTGCTAAACACATGGAGGTGCCTGGAGGGTAGTATACCTGGAGAGGCCATAGATGCTCTGAGGGCCTTTCTATATACCTTGCCCTATTAGTCTCTTTATCTGGCTGTTCGCCTGTATTCTTAGTAAAATTCTTTATAATAAACCAATGAATGTATGTAAGCATTTCTCTGAGCTTTGTGAGATGCCCTAGAAAATTATTGAGCATGAGAAGAAGATCCCAGGCAACTCTGATTTGTAGCCAAGTTAGACAGAAGTTGTGGATAATCTGTAAATCTATTAATATGGTTTCGATCTGTGTCCCCACCCAAATATCATGTCGAATTGTAAACCCCAGTGTTGGAAGTGGAGACTGGTGGGAGGTAATTAGATCATGGAAGCAAATTTCCCCTTTGGTTCTCTTCCTGTGTGTATTAGTCTGTTTTCGTGCTGCTGATAAAGACATACCCAAGACTGGGTAATGTACAAAAAAAAAAAAAAGAGGTTTATTGGACTTACCGTTCCTCTTGGCTATCGATGCCTCACAACTGTGGCAGAAGATGAAAGGCATGTCTCACATGGTGGCAGACAAGAGAAGAGAGCTTGTGCAGGGAAACTCCCCTTTTTAAAACCATCAGATCTCCCGAGACTTATTCACTATCATGAGAACGGCATGGGAAAGATCTGCCCCCGTGATTCAATTACCTCCCACTGAGTCCCTCCCACAACACATGGAAATTCAAGATAAGATTTGGGTGGCAACACAGTCAAACCACATCACCATAATAGAGTTCTCATGATATCTGGTTGTTTGAAAGTGCGTGGCCGCTCCCACCTCTCTTCCTCCTGCTCCAGGCATGTAAGATGTCCCTGCTTCCCCTCCACCTTCTACCATAATTGTAAGTTTCCTGAGGCCTCCCCAGAATCTGCTGTGCTTCCTGTACAGCCTGCAGAGCTGTGAGCCAATTAAACCTCTTTTCTTTATAAATTACCCAGCCTCAGGTATTTCTTCATAGAAATGCAAGAACTAACAAATACACTACTACTTGTAACTGGGACTTGAAGTGGGAGAGGAGGAATCTTGCAAGACTGAGTGCTTAACCTGTGGGGTCTGACTAACTTTGATTGCTATCAAAATTAAATTGAATTGTAAGACATGGAGCTGGCATCTTACAATTTAATTTAATTTTACTGTTGAGTCTGCATGGCTGGTAGGAGGATTGATGGTGTGAGAAAAACCCTACACATCTGGTGTCAGAAGTGAAGTACTGAGAGTGAGAGGATAGTGTAGGGAGTACAGAGAGTATAGTTTATTTTTCCTATAGACAAGATAACTCTTCCTTTCTCTTTACCTCTGCATACTTCACTTCTAACTGAAGCTGTACTATTGTTTTGTTCCCACTAGCCCTTGTTAGTTCTTTAAGCCCAATCCTCAACTCCAAAGTTGCTGCGTTCTGTTTAGCCAACATGAAGGGATGCCTGGAGACAGCCTGACTTTCTCGCTATCTAAAAATTCTAGATAGAGCTTAGGGACTTGGGTTGGATGAGGGTCCTGGGAAATCTACAAGAGACTCTTTGGCCTCATTATTTTAGACTTGAATGATAAAAACATGGCTAAACAACAGAACAGAGATAATTGCTTTTGAAATTTTCGTGACACTCTATTTAAATTAAAACTGTTAAAACCCCAAGGAGAAACATTCATTTTCCATCTTTTTCAATGTTTTTCTTAGAGCCATGAATTCTAGACATAAACCATAAAGGCCCCTCACTAAAAACCCGGCATAGAAGGCAGTGCAATCTGCACAGGGGGACATGGCAGACATGCAGATGAGAAGGCACTCCTATCACTTCAGGGATCCTTTATTAACCTGAAAAGCTCTTCTAAGGTATGGCTGGAAATCTGACCCCTGAGACCTGGAAGTTAGGTATGGATGACTGTGGCACTTACAAAGTAATTTCAACCTCTGCCTTAAAAGCCAATGAGACCTGTAGGGCAGAGGCTGTGGCTAAGTGTTAATGACCAAACTTCCCTAGTCTCTGTGCCTCCTCCAGTTAGTCAGAATTTTACTTGGCTCTGGCTACAAAAAACTATCTTCTTACCAGAGCCACATCTACTTTCCAATAAAGTATATCCTTTGCTGTAAGTAGCTATGCCTTTGAGTAAGTTATGTAAAAATTGTAATACTGCTGTGAGTATAACTGAAACCACTAAATCCATGAAATCCGTAGACTTCTAGAATCTTGGGCTCCCAAAGTTTCCTCCAGAAAAATGCCTTCCCCGAATTGCTCTGCGCTTATGGTCAATTTCTGATTCTGCATCTGCCTCTTTCCACCAAGACTCACTTTTGCTTGCCTCTAGAGTTTCCTTCAGTGTGGACAATGCATCTAAATGTGCCCCAGGCACACTGGCCTCTTTACTGTTGAATCTGCAGGGCTGGTAGGTATGGTTCTGCCTCAGGGCCTTTGTGCTTCCCACTCTCCTCTGGAATGCTCTCTCATGGTTACCTACATAGTAACTGACCACCACCCTAGGCTAGGAACTTCCCCTGGGGACACAGGGGTGCCAAGGCATCTCTGTGAGACCCCATGGGTCTTACACATAGTCTCTGTAGTAACTGTCTTCCCTTGTAGTCTCTGTGTGGTTCCTCAGGAGTGGAGCCCCTGGGGGAATGTCAACTCACCTTTTGTGGACTCCCTCTATTTAGAGTCCCAGCATACTCCCTGGCGTGGGGAAGATGAAGAGATTAATCACATAACAAAGGTGTCAGAGGAAAGAATGGAAATATTTGAGAAGGGAAGTGCAAATGGATAGATACTGTAAAAACATAGACCATAGGTTTAGTGAGGAGTTTTTATTCCTTAAGGGTTGATTTAAAGAATAACTGGGGAAATAAAATCTATGAAAAGATTGGATTCCAAGGAGACAAAAGTTAAGATTCCAGATAGAGGCAGAAGCTTGATGAGCTTAGCATTTTGTAGCCTAATTAGTGGGCTCCAGGCTTTCTAACAAATTCTAAATGAAACCTTGGTAACCATGGTGCTGGACCATGCGTTGAGGAATAAGGTCTCTGCCTGCCACACAATAGTCATTCCAATATGGACTCAATAAGAGTCTATTAGATAGCTAGATTATCTGGGAGGCTTCAATCTTTATAGGATAGATGATTTTTTTTTTTTTTAAGACGTAGTCTCTCTCTGTTGCCCAGGCTGGAGTACAGCGGTGTGATCTCAGCTCAATGCAACCTCTGCCTCCCGGGTTCAAGCAATTCTCCTGCCTCAGCTTCCTGAGTAGCTGGGGATAGATGATTCTTAAAACTCTTGGAGACTAACAATCACCTGCAGAACTTCTTAAATATATCCATGAGCAGACCTAGGCACAGAGCTACAGAATCAGGCGTCCCATTACTCCATTGAGATTTTAAGCATTGCCTTTGTTTGCACATACAGATGTAGGTTTGGAAGTGGGACCATTTTAACTCTTTATTCCACTTAATAGATTTATTTGTAATTCCAGATTTATCTAAATATTTTAAGTTTCTTCCTATAAAGAATAAAGGGTTTGATATAAATATATGTTATAAATTGTTTACTTAAATAACATGATGTTTTAGAAATTGCTTCCTTATATTATCTTTTTAAATCTTCTTTTCTTTAAACCAACAAGCACACTTGACTAGGAAGTTATCTTTAAGTATGCAGGGCTCATGTTTTCTAATACTTTGAAATTGTTCTCATAGTTCTTCATAATTTTCTCTTGTTTTTCGCATATAATCATAAGGTAGAATAAAAAGTTAAGGTTTTATGGCTAAGAGGATCTAGCTCTGCTAGTAAATCATCTTGCTTGCCCTCAATTTCCTCTGTGTAAAGTGTAAGCACTTGAAAATGAGGTTCTTTTTAAGTTTTGTGTGGATAGTAACCCACGTCTATAACGAAACTTCAACAAATGTGATGAAAGTAACTTGGATTTCAACAAAAACATCTCTCTAAATCAAACTGGTACATATGCTGCCATTTAGCTGTCATTTCTAACAAAATATTTTAAACTAAACTTCTTATTTTGCTGTCAAAACTAGCTCCTCATTATGGCTTCCTTATTTCTGTCCAAGGCCTTTTCTTTCCATCATTCTCATTCTACGTTTTAGAATCCGTCCTCACTCTAAGTTGTTCTCACATTTTCCATACCCAGTTGCCAAGCGCTGTTGATTATTATTTATTAGTATTTCTCAACTATTTCATGCTTTATTTCCTTTATCCCTGCTGCTATAATCAGTCTTAATGGCTTGTATATACTGCCCCAAATTAAAATGACTAGTTAATATGAAACATAGTTCACTTGGGGGCCAGGTGCGGTAGCTCATGCCTGTAATCCCAGCACTTTGGGAGGCCAAGGCGGGCAGATCACTAGGTCAAGAGATCGAGACCATCCTGGCCAACACGGTGAAACCCCGTATCTACTAAAAACACAAAAATTAGGGCCAGGCGCGGTGGCTCACGCCTGTAATCCCAGCACTTTGGGAGGCTGAGGCGGGTGGATCACGAGGTCAGGAGATCGAGACCATCCTGGCTAACATGGTGAAACTCCGTCTCTACTAAAAATACAAAAAATTAGGCGGGCGTGGTGTCTCGCGCCTGTAGTCCCAGCTACTCGGGAGGCTGAGTCAGGAGAATGATGTGAACCCGGGAGGCAGAGCTTTCAGTGAGGCGAGATCGCGCCACCACACTCCAGCCTGGGAGACAGAACAAGACTCCGTCTCAAAAAAAAAAAAAAAACAACACACACACACACACACACACACACACACACACACACACACACACACAAATTAGCTGGGCGTGGTGACTTGCGCCTGTAGTCCCAGCTACTTGGGAGCCTGAGGCAGGAGAGTCGCTTGAACCTGAGAGGTAGAGGTTGCAGTGAGCCGAGATTGTGCCGCTGCACTCCAGCCTGGAGACAGAGCGAGACTCTGTCTAAAACAATAGGCAGTCTTGATGAAATATTAAGCCCTTTAGCCTAGAATTCAAACATTTCCATAAGCACACCTCTCTAAGCTGCTCCATGAAATAGTTACAATAATAGTGAAACGCTATTATTGCCAATGTGAAGATGAGAAAACAAGTTAAAAAACTTGCCCTATGCCATAATATACAAAAAAATCCACTAAAGAGGATCTTCTTAAAAAGAAAAAAGAAAGAGAGAGAAGTAAAAAGACTTTATTTCGGTGAAGAGTTTGCAGACCAGGAAAATGCAGCCTTCAGTACAAAACAAAGGTGCATTCGAGAGAACAAGGAGAAGGACTGTCTTTATTAATAGACAAAGTTTCTGCCCAGGTTCTCACTCTGGTTTACTTATGCAAATGAAGGATGCAAAATTATTTAGTTCTGACTGGCTGATGCTTGTTGAGTTTTGATTGCAGATGCAGGACACAGTCTATTGATTGATTCAGGCTGCACAAACAGGAATAGGTAGCTATGAAAGTCCCAAAGTTAGGTGAGGCGTAAGGGTTTTCCCAGAACATAGAGTATGTGTATTGGCCTCCAGTCACCAAATGGCTGCTTGGCTCTATTTTGAATTAAGGCCCATTCAGCCACTTAGGATCCATCTTGAAGGATTGACTCTTTCAGGGTTCATACATATTATTATCATCAAAGTGATGATTCCAAACCAGGCTAGCTGAGTCAAGTCTATACTGTTAACTACGTTAAAATGTCAACATCTTGGACTTTTCTGCCTCTGAATGCTTGTTCTTTCTAGAATATTTATCTCAGTCCCTTCAGGCATGTATAGCAAAACACTGTAGACTGGGTCGCTTATAAACAACAGAAATTCCTTTCTCATAGTTGTGGAGTCTGGGAAGTACAAGATCAAGGTTTCAGTAGATTCAGGGTCTGGTGAGAGCCCACTTTCTGGCCCATAGATAGCATGTTTTCACTGTGTCGTCATATGGCCAGAAGGAGCAAGGAAGCTAGCTCCCTTTATAAAAAGGCACTAATTCCAATCATGAAGGCCCCAACCAAGATCTAATTAATTCTCACAGGCTCCATCTCCAAATACCATCACACTGGGAATTAGATTTCAACATATGAATTTTGGAGGAAACTCAAACATTCATTGTACAGCAATGTCCTTCCTACATTTAACATGCACTCTGTTTATTATCCCCTATTCAGGCATGTATATCCTTTAAGACTAAGTTCAAGAATCTTTCTCTTGTCTGTCCTGGTCATTTTTGACAGCAGTGTTGTCTCCTTCTTTACATGTTATCACCTATTTCAATAGGAACTCCTTGTCACTTGAATGTTATTTTTTATTGAAATGCAATTATATTTCTTGTGTCTCTTACTATCATGTAAGGGTAGAATATATGTCATATCACCAAAGTGACATGCATAGAGTGTTAGTCATAAGGGCTCTTTGATAAAAATGTTATAAATGCATGAATTCACATGTATTAACAGAGGTATAAAATCTACACTTTAGATTTAAATATATGCTTTGCCCCTATACTGTATCTCTTGTTGTAAATAAAAAATACATAACTAGATAAAGTTTCGAAGTCTTAGTATGCATTTGAGAATTCAGCCCTGTTCTATATCTAGATTTACAAGGAAAATTATTTTCTAACATGGGATTGATTTAGGAGTCATAAATGTCACCTTGTTATTTTGTAGAGCAACAAATAATCACATATCTGCAGAGGGTAACGTGCTAGGTAAATTTATACTGATTATTTTCTTTCCTAATTTACTATTAATGTTGAGTTTTTCTAAGAAACTCAATATGTTACTCTCTTAAGAATGGTTAATAAAAGGTCATAAATAAATTTTCTTACATAATATAGTCATAATTTCTTGACAAATTTGTATCAATAAAAATGAAAAAATATATATGCTTGGTTAAAGGAACGGTGAGTCATTTGAAATAGCTTACTATGTAACTAGAATAATTGTAACAATTTATTAACTGTAAGGGACTCAAAATTTTTTCTCCTACTCATTTTACATATGAGGAAACTATTAACAAAAAGTTAATTGATATGCTTGAATTTACCAAAATAAACCAACTTAGAGCACTTCTTAATTAGAAATACAATCATGTTTCATGACATTATACCTCACTATATTCCTGGTCCTAAATCCAATTTTAAATTATTTTAAACATCTTCATATAAGATAATATTTTTTCTTTTATTTCCACTTAATCACAGAATAGGATGGTTTTAAATACTTGCAATGATAGAGTTTAGAGTAAAACTAATTAGATACATTGCTGGTGCATTTCAGAGCAACACTACTTAATTGGAGATTACATCATAGAAATTTTGTAATAATGTAATTAAAGAATTCTGAATAATTTTAATTGAAATTAAAACCACTATATGTAGATGTTAATGAGATTTGTCATTAACATCTTATTGACTCAATAAGTTGACTCAGATTAAGGTTTTTGGCCAACATATGGATTAACTGAGACTACTAATGTGTTTCTATTTCAACCTTCTGTGTGTGTGTGCGCGCGCGTGTGTGTGTGTGTGTGTGTGTCTGTTTAATCAATACATCAACATTCTCTTAGTGATGTTTTGGAATCTATTTAACATTCACATTCAATTGCCTTCCATAATCATTTTAATTACTATAGATATTCTGTTTCTAGTTTATAATTTTCTTGTGCTCATTCTGCAAATTTCTATTCTTCTTCCACCTTGAATAATTTTTAGGCCTTTCATTTTTTTCCTTTTCCCCTCAGTGGTATTTCTTTTATTAAAAATCCTAGATTGACATCGTTAGTGAGTTACACTTCTAATTTTTTCTTTCTGTGCCCAATAGTCTAAGATTATTCAAATGTGATAGCACCCTTTGCACCAAAATAAATACATTTGGGCCTAATTAACTTCTGTTCATTAAAAATGACCTTGTTGCGATTAAGCAGGCATTAACACAGACTCAGCTTTCCCAGAGATACATTTAGAAGTCACCAAAAGAGAAGGGAACTTTTAGACACTCTGAGCCTTCCAGTCATATGACTCAGACAACACTGAATTCTGATGGCGTTATTAACAATATCATCTTTAATAAGAGATTCATTTGTCCAATAATGCTAATGAATGCTTTTCAACAGTGAGCATGTTAATATTTGCAGAGTTCTTCACTCTCCTTACCATGTCAGTGTCCATACTCCCTCTTATGATAAATATGTATGTTTCACTGAGTATGCAAAAATCACAAAGTTCCATAGTAAAATGTATTGAATTATATTGCATTAAATACAATACACTCTCCTTTGGAAAGAAAAAGAAGTTTAGAAAATGTATCCGTTAATTGTCAATGTTTACATTTAATCCTCTTTCATCAGCAATTACCACTCTGTTAATCTAGAAGAGGTTAATTTACAAAGTAAATAGTGTACTAATGAAGATTCAATATTTACTTAGATTTGTTTTCTGTATACAATCTTATTTTTTTATTTGAAATCATACAATTGTGACCGTTACTTCACATTTATAAAAACCCTACCTCTTCAACCTTTTCCTTGCTTCTCTATTTTCATTTTCATAATCTTCACCATATACTAAAGAAATGTAACAGACATGCTTATGAACTCTCTCAGTTATGTGGAGACATGCTATGATTAGTAAATATAAGAGTCAAATCCTGGTTTGCATACAGGCAGATCAAGAGGAGCCTTTTCCCTATTAGAAAAAATATTGTACTATGGAACTGGGTCTTACTAACAATTATACTTACTTTCTTGGCCACCTTGGGTAAATCATCTTACTTCTCTGGGCTTCAGTCTCCTTTATAAATTAAAGGTATTAGACTAGTATCAACAATCTCAAACATGAATGTATCTTTAAATTAATCTGGGAGCTTTTTAAAAACTACCCTTGCTCAGGCCTTGTGATCAGAATCTATCTTGGGTGAGTCTGAGAATCAGTAAACATTGAAAGTACACAGATAATTTGATTTTATAGTCACAGTTGATAAAACTGGATTAGAGGAACATTAATGTTTCTTGCAGTTCAAAGAAATTCGAAAAGAGACTAATAAGATGTTAAGAAGGTATAGTATTTAGATACTAAGGAATCTAAAATATGCCTTTCTGGAAAACTTGAAATGTATATGCTTTTTATAAAAAGGTAATTCCTGTTTTTTTTTTTTTTTTACTATTATGCACCACTGCTGGTGAGCATCAGCATGTGCTCCTAGAAATAGTTTCTGCCTGGAGTTTTTAATGACTGAAGCTTCCCACACTTGCCGTTCATTAGAAACACATGCCCTGCAGGTAACCACTGTACAGTTGGTCTTCTCATGAGAAGTCACAGAAATTCGCTACAGCAATGCAATGAGTGCTGCAGACATAAACTTATTGTTTCAATTTATCCGCAGTTCTTGGAAGGGAACAAGAAAAATAAAATCTAGCCATAGTTAAGTTTCAAAGACATTTCTCTGCCAGGCATAAGTACATGGTTTAGAAGATAGAACTGAGAATTTCAAGGAATCTACAAAAGTCAACTTCTTCCAGTGCCTAATTTTAGCGAAAAAGAGTAAAGCAATACTGAGTTTAAATGGCTATAACTTGTAAAAAGTATTACATTAAAATAAGGAAAACAATCTTCTTCATAAGTATAAAATAATGCAACCCATTTCATCTTTTATAAGGTTTAATTAAGCATTTTAATGAGAATTAGAGTAATTTTCTTAAACAGCAAGAGGAAATTTAAATGTATATTATGTTATATATTAATATATAAATAGTATATATTAATATATAAATAGTATATATTCAAATATATACTTAAATATTTATATATTTAAACAGTACATATAACGTAATTTTACTTCATGTATAAATTATATATAAATATGTGTATATCAAATAGGTTAAAGTACTATATTTGCCGAACTTTAATGAATGGCCTTGTTTCCCACTGTAATTCATAATCAAGTACATTTATATATTTAGAAATGTATCAGTCATTTATTATTGCAAGTGTCTTAAACACTGAGTAGCCTATACAAAGAGTTGATCTCTCACTCACAGGTGGATCAGCTCTGGACCTACAGAGCTCGTCTCAGATCAGCTATCTTGACTCTAAGCGATAAGCTGAGTTCATGTGTGTGCACATTCAGGGGTTATACTACCTGGGGTATGTTTCTCATGGCAGATGGCAGAACACAGAAGAATATGAGACGTTATGTCTCTCGAGGTCTCAGCTTGGAACTGGCATAGTGTTACATCACTGATAATGTCTTAGCCACAGCCAGACTCATGAAAAAGAGCGGACTAAATGTTTGCACATGATATTTTATTTTACGCAATTCATTTATTTACTCATTCATTCAATTGCTTATTTAATCATTCCTTAAAATACATAAGCTGAGAGCTGACTATATGGATGGCAACAGGCAAATACAATAGATACAGTAGTGAAAAAAATAAACATGGTGTCTTTTGTTATCAGTCCAAAGCTCAGTGGAGCAGTGAGTGATACTAATCAAACAACTGCACAAATGCATCTCTAAGTAAATTATTTTAAAAGTACAGTTAAAGGAAACAAGTAGGTGCTATTAAGTACATGATATAATATCAGGGTTCAAGAAAATTTTCAGAGCAAATGGCAAATGAGATACGTATATTCAGTCTGCCCTTCAAGTCTGCAGGTTCAACCAATTGTGCATGAAAACTATTTGGAAACATTAATAACAGTGTAACAAGTAAAAATATAAATAAAAATACATTATAATGATGATTTACATAGCATTTACATTGTATTAAGTATTATAAATAGAGATGATTTAAAGTAGATTACTAAAATCATCTACTTCAGTAATGTTATAGCAAATATAACATATATGGTTACCTGCAAATACTATACTATGCCATTTTATATTAGAAACTTGAACATCCATGGATTTTGGTATCTGGGGGCAGGAAGTTCCTGAAACCAATTCCACATGGATACCAAGGGACCACTCTGTTATCTAGCCAAAAATGATGTAGTGGAAAGAGAAAAGAGTGTTTGAAGCAAATGAGTGTGTGCAATTTCTTATAAAGAGAGAAATCATGTTTGCGTGAAGAAATTTTTTTAAAAAAAGAAATAAAAGACATGAGAGAGAATGATATGGGCTAGAACCGTAAAGAGAGGCAGGGGTCAGATTACTTAAGGTCTCATGTTCCACAATAAAAATTTTTAATTTTTACCTAGGAGCAATAGGAAGATGGTGAATACTTTTAAGTAAAAACATGATGCGAAGTATTTATATTTCCATTTTAAAATATCTCTCTGGATCCAGTAAAAATATTGGAGGGAGACAAGAGTGAATTGAAAGTTTTTTCATCCAAGAGAAAGTATATTTGTCTCTAACTTGATGCTTTCAGACAAATGCACTGGAAAGAGATTTTGAAGATAAAACTCAAAGTACTTAGTGAAAAGTTACAGAATGTCAGGCAGAACGAGGTTCAAGGCTCACTCCTACTACTCAGGCATACATGACTTGGTATAAAGTATACGCTTAGAAGCTGGTTTTCTTGAGTCACTTGCTTCTTTCTCTTCTCCAATTATTTTATGTTGAGCTTTCAACTGTTGAAGAAACTGTATATTTACTTTTTTTATAATAGAGATTTCTTGAAATCACATTTCCCATGAAGTTCTTGGCCCTGGTTCAGTTTTCTCCATGTCTTTACAGAGCTGGCAACGTCAAAGCCAGTGGCTTAGAATAGGCATAGTTAAAGAAAAGACCAATTTACACAACTGTCATATTTTAAAAGAAGACATCTGGTCTCTTAACTCTGGTGTTATTCTGTTTGAGCCTGGTGGCTACTGTGTATACAATTATCAGCATATTAACAGTAATAATTTTCTTGGGAATAAGTTAACATTAACCTTAGTTCTCTCAATTGCTGAGGGACTCCACAATCCCAGAGGGGAAATCGTGTTTCACATTGTGTTTTTTAAAAAGCAACTGTATGTACTAGAAAATGTTTTATAACTCCAACATAGAAATTATTACTCACCTCTTCTTAGTCTTCCAAAGAGGCTAGATGGTGAAATGAGTTAGACAATTCCACCATTCTTTTTGAAAAAAGAAAAATTCACTATATAAAAGCCTATATGTGTCTTCTACATAGCTGTTGGATAGATAAAGCTATTTCCAGCAATTTTTTTAAAAGATTCAAAGAAGTTATACTACTGTAAGGAATTTTTTTGTCTGTATATTAGAAATGAACTAGAATGTTTGCACAGAAATAATCTTTTTCTTTCAATTGTCTGTTTCAAAATATCACATAATATTCAAAATCATTTTAATATAGAAAGATTTCTAGAAATCAAAAATTATTGCTAATATTATTAAAGTAATTACAGTTTAATTCACACACATAGAATCAACTACAAATAATAGAAAGAATCAGTCCATATTGTATTAGTTCGTTTTCATGCTACTGATGAAGACATACCCGACACTGGGCAATTTATGAAAGAAATAGGTTTAATGGACTTACAGTTCCACATAGCTAGGGAGGCCTCACAATCATGGTGGAAGGCAAGGAGGGGCAAGTCACGTTTTACATGGGTGGTGAGAGGCAAAGAGAGAGAGAGCTTGTGCAGGAAAACTCCTGTTTTTAAAACCATTAGATCTCATAAGACTTATTCACTATGACAAGAACAGCATGGGAAAGACCTACCCCTATGATTGAATTACCTCCCACCGGGTTCCTACCACAACACGTGGGAATTGTGGGAGTTACAATTCAAGATGAGATTTGGGGTGGACACAGCCAAACCATATCATATATGAACTATGTGATACTCCTCAAAACCCTGGATTACAGTCAGATTAGGACTATTTCTGAGAAATAAAGTGTAGTCGTTAATCCTCAATTTTGTGTCAAAATGCTAGTTACAATGGAATAACATTGTTGCCCACTTCAAGCTAATTGCTTTTTGAGGAAATGATTGCATATATATTTCCACATGTACATCATTTTATCTCTGAAATATATGACCACCCAAGTATCTGGAGAAACACTCTTCATTATTAATTTGTATAGTTATTCATATCAGCCATTGTCATAGAAATCTTTTCCTTCAGTAATTTTTAGAGATAAAATCCTTCATTTAAGAATAATTTAAAGTTAATGGTAGAATTATATAACAGAGAAGACAGTAATTATAGCTACAATAATGATTTTGCTAATGTCCATCATCAATCTGATGGTGTAGCTATCTACAGAAATCATTAGGTTACCAAAATTAATGTATTATCCAGAGGCAAAATTTCTTTTGAAATATTTACTGAGTTCCCAATATATGTCATGACCTGTGTTGGCATGGGTGATAGATTTGTTTCTATCTTCAAAGACTAAAATCTAATACTATAACAGAAAAGCTTAAATATTTTTCATGCGTACAACCTGGCCTTCATTCTTTTAATCCAAAACATTAGGGCTACAAATACTGTTTATTTCACCAAGGATTATAGAGTTATGTCATGTTCTGTTGACTGTTATTATTTATGACATAATTTTGAACAATAAATTATGATTTGAGAAGAAGAAATTAGGTAAAAATGATGAGGAATACTTAGAGCTAAGCAATACAAAAGAAAAGCTTTGGAGGTGAATTCAAAACCTAAAGGATGACACTGAAGTACAACTTGATTGTAAAACTAGTTTTGTAACTAGATAAATATCCTTATTCATTTAACTTTTATTTGTATTTATAAATAATAATTGGGCCAGGAGTGGTGGCTCATTCCTGTAATCCCAGCACTTTGGGAGGCTGAGGCAGGTGGATCACTTGAGCTAAAGAGTTCAAGACCAGCCTGGGCAACATGGCAAACCCCCCTCTCTAAAAACAAACTACATAAATTAGATGAGTATGGTGGTGCACATCTGTAGTCCCAGCTACTTGGGAGGCTGAGGCATGAGAATCACTTGAGCTCAGAGGAGGTGGAGTTTGCAGTGAGCTATGATTACACCACTTCACTCCAGCCAGGGCTACAGAGCAAGATCCTGCTTAAAATAAATAAATGAGTAATAAAAATAATAATTGTACCAGAGTTAACATTCCTAATGCTTATATATTGTAGGCTTTGAATTAAATTTGTTAAGTAAATTCTCATTCCTGAAAACTCTACCCTGAGGTATGCATTATTATTATCCATCACATTTTATAGAAGATCAAACTTCTGTAGCAAATGAGCTTGAATTCACAATTTTAGTAGTGAGCAGAGCTAGAAATAAAACACAGGATAAATTTAGAGTGCATGATATAAACACTATAATAAGGTTACTAGTATAAGATATGAATTTCAGAGAAATCTTTTGAGCTCCCAAAGAGATTGAGTAAAACAGTCGATCGGTGTCTACTGGGGTTCAAAATATGCTAATACTTGTCCATCTTCCTATTAGAAATAAGATAAGGATGTCTCTCAAACTAAAGCTTTCTACACTTAAAAAAAAGACAACTATATTTGTTATCTATTAACCTAAGATCAAATGAAAGATTCACAAAGTTTTCTCATGGACACCGAATCTGACAGCGGAGATTCACATACATAGACAGACTACATTTTTCAGATATTGCTACACAGTAGGGAGTACTAAAGAGGTCAACATAAGCTGATGCAGGCACAGCTCCTAAAACTGTATCAGTAGCACTGCAGCTTTTTTTCCCTACTGATTTCTACTAATTCCTGACCCAATAATATGCCAGTCTACATATGTGGAGACCAGATACACCAGGTCAGTATGTACTTCACTAATCATAACACTCAACTTTCTAATCTTATGCTCGCTTTGATGTCTGGCACATATTAGGACACAGACTTTTTTTTTTCTTTTTTGAGATGGTGTCCTACTCTGTCACCCAGGTTGGAGTGCAGTGGCACCATCTCAGCTCACTGCAACCTCTGCCTCCTGGGTTCAAGTGATGCTCTTGCCTCAGCCTCCTGAGTAGCTGGGATTACAGGCACCCACCACCATGCCCGGCTAAATTTTTTTTGTGTGTTTTTAGCAGAGACGATATTTCACCATGTTGGCCAGGTTGGTCTTGAACTCCTGATCTCAAATGATCCAGCCACCTTGACCTCCCGAAGTGCTAGGATTACAGCTGTGAGTCACCATGTCTGGACAGGATACAGACTTTTAAATCAATTTATGTATGATTCTAGTGACTTTCAAATTTATACTTGACAGTCTTCTGGAAGTAAATGAAAAAATAGTTAAAGACTTTAAAATAAAACACTGACAAAGTAAAAGTCTAAGTATTTTTCATGTGAATAGACTTGGCTTCATTCTTTTAATCAAAGACATTGGATAAAAACAGTAGTGTTCCTGTAGTCCAAGCTACTTTGTGAGATGAGGCAGGAAGATCTCTTGAGCCTGAGTCCAGCCAAGGCAACATAGCAAGATGCCATCTCTAAAATAATAACAATAATAATGATAATAATAATAGTAATAGTAATCTGTGGCTCTTTAAGAAAGATAGATTTTCTACTGTACCCATAGCTTAAAGTGTATATGTAATCCCTGTGCATTAAGGGTACAGATCAATGCAAAAATTAATTCTGTGTCTACTTGTTTATGACCATGTAGAATAGTTCAAACATACGCCTTATTATTAGGAGTTATGAAACCAACCAGAGACTTTTTTAGTTTTCTATATATAAAAATATAATGTAAATGTGCTGCACAATGCCTCATGATAAAAGGCACATGATAAAAGGCACCTGGTGATTTTGAGTGGTATCTCAAAATCACTTCCAGGTGATTTTCTGAACCTTATGCCAAATAAGATGAGAAAATATGTAAGCCCTTACAGCAGAAGAAGTTAGAGGTCAAAGAAACCTCAGTCATTTTTACTAGCAAAGCTTGCTTTAAAAATATTTAGGCTTCAAATGCATTCGCTTTTTACCAGGCTTTTCAATATAAATAAAAGAAAGACCAAAAAACTGAAGTAGCAAAGAAGTGAATACCAGAAAAAAAAAAAAGAAAGAGATAAAGGAAATGAGCATAGGTTTGAAATATTTCAGAGACTAGCACAAACTGGGTTATATGTTCTTTCTTTGGGCATTTTTTATGTTTGAAGAGAATGTTCTGTTCCCACAGAGAGACCTACTAAGAACAGCAAATGAAAAAGAGTGAGAAAGGAAAGAATAGCTCTCTGTATACTAATACTTTATTTATTTATTTATTTATTTTAAATATTTTATTTTTGGAGACAGAGTCTTGTTCTGTCACCAAGGCTGGAGTGCAGTGGTGATCATAGCTCACTGCATCTTCAAAGTCATGAGCTCAAGCAATCCTTCTGCCTCAGCCTTTTGAGTAGCTGGGACTACAGGCACACCATCATGCCCAGGTAATTTTTTTGTTGTTGTTGTTGTTTACTAGAAATGAGGCCTCACTATGTTGCCCAGGCTGATCTTGAACTTCTGGCCTCAAGTGATCCTCCTGCCTCAGCCTCCCAAAGTACTTCAGAGTACTTTAGAAACATCAAACTAACATTCCAAATGGGTGGTATCACAGAGAGCATGGCTTGAAATACATGTCTTCTTAGAAAATTCAACTTCATCACAGCACACTTTACATACAATGAAATTCACTAATTTTAATGTGTAGTTCAAGGAACTTTGACAGATGTATATAGTTGCGTTACCACCACCAAAGTCAAAATGCAAAATAGTTCTATTATACCAACGAGTTTCCTATTCCAATTCTCAAGAAATCCCTTCCCATCACTTAGCCTGTGGGGTACAGCAAGGGGGTCAAGGTATCTCAGGCGAAAGGAAAAGGAGGGGTAAGTCAATCAATATGTATTGAGGATGCACAGCACATGCGGCCTTGTAGGTCAGAGGAGGTCAAGGACTTTGGGTTTACTCTAAATGAAATGGGAGGCATGGGAGGGTTTTGAGCAAAGGAGTGGTCTGATTTAGGTTTTGAAAGGAATATGGAGAAACTATATGTATACAAGTGTTGAACAAATAAGTAAATATACTATAGGTGATAAGAGCCAGGCTTCTCACTGCTGGAGAAAGAAGTTACAAATGAGAAATGAGGGAAGGAATGTTAGAATGATTCTTGTGGGTGGGAATTGGAGTCATCAATATGCCCTCATGTGTGTACAGCTAGCCAGATAGAGAAATAAATACAGACATGCCTGTAAACATGGGTTACATGTGTGCATGTGTGTGTGTATGTGTGTGTATTGCCATCTTAACAGTAGTATGTCTTCCAATCAATGAACACAGGCTGTCTTTCCATCAATTTAGGTCTCTTTAAAAATGTATTTCCGGCTGGACGTGGTGGATCACACCGTAATCCCAACACTGTGGGAGGCTGAGGTGGGCGGATCACTTGAGGTCAGGAGTTCGAGACCAGCAACATGGTAAAACTCTGTATTTACCAAAAAATGCAAAAATTAGCCAGACGTAGTGGCACACATTTGTAATCCCAGATACTCAGGAGGCTAAGGCACGAGAATCGCTTGAACCCGGGAGTTGGAGGTTGCAGTGGGCTGAGATTGTGCCACTGTACTCCAACCTGGGCAACAGAGTGACACTCTGTCTCAAAAAAAAAATATATGTATTTCAACAATGTTTGGTCATTTCAGGGTATACTTAATATTTTTTATGTATTCATACTTATCTTTTAAATCAGTCTTTTTCAGAATACAGCATAACTGTAAGTGGGATTTAAAAAGTCCTCAAGGAATATAATGGGAATATAATGAAACATTTCTAATCTTTAAGAATTAAGTCAACAAGTGTTAATGAATGTTCATTATAGGCCTTGTTCTATGTGAGAACATGAGATTATTGCAGAAGAATGTCTTTTTAAATCAAGACTTTACTAAATTTGAAAAAAAACAGCATTTATAGACATCATAAAATAAAGCGACAATATGCTAATATATGATTAACTGCTAAATTGAATAATGTAAGTATGCCTTTCCCCACGCCCAGCCCCATTATCCTCCAAAGCTTATCTTACCACAGTCCCTTTAGAAGTCAAGGGCCTTCTGTGCTTTTGAGATGCTTACAAATGTCTTTGGTTGTGGCAAAGCAAACAAGGGAGTTTTGACGGGGACTCAAAAAATTTCACAGCACAAAAGGGCATTCTCTGCTGAAAGAGGCTCTGGTGGTTTAAAAGCAATGGTCAATGGGAAGCATTTGTTCTGTAGGAAGGTGAAGCCCATCTGGCCTCTCTTCAGATGGGGTGAGCTGCTTGCTTGAATGAAGAGTTACAGTTTTCAGCTGTTACGTCGTCTTGCACTTGGCTGGCCACATACTGCTCCTATCTTTTGATGAGTGTACGCAAATCCTCCAGAACACATCCTTTTGTCTTTGACGCTGGCCTTCCTTCATGACCATAAGCCTGTCACTCTGTCAACCCTGTTCAATTCCATATGATTCTCCTTTACTCTTACGTGGGCCACCAACCATTTCTTTCTTTTCCTTTCTATACACTTTCTAAAGTTTTCTGTGTGATCAATTTGATGTTCTCATCCTGTCTGTTCCTAGACTGTTGACTGTCAAGGGCCTAGTTAGGACTTTTTAATTTTTTTTTTTTTTTTTTTTTTGCTGTGTCTTTGTTTTTACATTTCTTTTCTTTTTTTTTTTTTCTTTTTCCCTTGTTTTTCGAAGACAGCATCTCGCTATGTTGCCCAGGCTGGTCTCAAACTCCTGGACTCAAGAAGTCCTCCTACCGGGGTTACCCACAATGCTAGGATTACAGGGGTGAGCCACCACACCCAGCCTAGCCTCTCTTTGCATTTCTGCTGTAACAATCCTGGACAATTTCAAGGTACTTCCATCCCCTTAAATCAAAAGGGAAAGAGAAGAATGTATAGGAAGCCTGATGATTAACATTCCAAAATATTTTGTTTAAAGTAACATAATAGAATATACAGTTTAACTGTTTCCCATATGTTATTGTCCCATTCCAGTGGCCTGCTGAACAGGTTTTAGGATTTATTCTACATGCATCTAAACCAAAAATGTTTACAATGATCCTTCTAAACAGCTGCTGTTACTGACGACTGTTTCTTCCTGTCCTGCTGCTTCCATTTGTTTGTTTTTTGTTTGTTTCTTTTAACTTAATTAGCTATTTTATTTGTTTATTTAATTTTTCCATAGGTTATTAGTGTACAGGAGGTGTTTGGTTACATAAGTTCTTTAGTGATGATTTATGAGATTTTGTACACTCATCACCCGAGCAGTATACGCTGCACACTATTTGCTTTTAGCCCTCACCACCTTCTCACCTTTCCCCACCAAGTCCCCAAAGTCCATTGTATCATTCTTATGCCTTTGTGTCCTCATAGCTGAGCTTCCACGTATCACTGAGAACATATGATGTTTGGTTTTCCATTTCTGAATTACTTCACTTAGAGTATAATCTCCAATCTCATCCAGGTTGCTGCGAATGCTGTTTATTCCTTTTTATGGCTAAGCAGTATTCCATTGTATATATATACCACAGTTTCTTTATCTACTCTTTATTTGATGGTCATTTGGTTTGGTTCTATGATTTTGAACTTGAAAACTGTGCCACTATAAAACAATAAAAAAGATAAATGAAACAAAAAGCTCATTCTTTGAAAAGATAAATAAAATTGAGAGACCATTAGCAAGATTAACCAAGAAAAGAAAGAAAATTCAAATAACCTCTAAGAAATGAAATAAAAGATATTACAACTGACACCACAGAAATACAAAAGATCATTCAAGGCTACTATTGTTCCTGGACCCAACTGAGGGTCAGGCTGCTGTTTCTCATGGCCCAATAACAAGATGCAGATGAACTGGGGAGAAAGAGAGTTTTATTTCTGTAACTGGTTACAGGAAGAAGGCCTGGAAATTATCACCTGACCAACTCAAAATTACAAAGTTTTTCAGAGCTTATATACCTTCTAAGCTATACATATACATGTAAGTGTGCATTCATTTAAAGACGTAAGTGATTGACTTCTTTTCATCTATACCTAAGGTCTCAGTCCTGAAGACCTTCTTCTGGAACCTCAGTAAGTTTACTGACTCTAAATGGGGTGATTACCCTTATCTTGCCTCCTGCTACATCACGGAGTTTTGGGGAGTTCCTTCAGACCCCCAATAAACTTGTTTGTGAAGGCCTGAGGAGTTTATTCAGACTCCAATAAAACTTGTTCAATCCAAAATAAGTCCCGTTAAGAATTCCTTTGCTATTTTGTCATGCTTTAAGGCCCAGGAAAGGCCTAGGCAAAACTCTTGATGGGCTTTTGTTCTATCCCAGTCTTTGTATAAGAGCACTGGCTTCCTTTTTTAGCTTTTAATATTGAACTTAACCACTCAGTCAGTACTGAAACAGTGGTGATGGAAGCCTGCATTAGTGAAACCTGGCCTGCCACACTATGAACATCTTTATGCACATAAACTAGAAAACCTAGAAGAGATGAATAAATTCCCGGAAAGATACAACCCTCCTAGCTTAAGTCAGGAAGAATTAGATACCCTGACCTGAACATACCAATAACAAGCAGTGAGATTGAAATTGTAGTTAAAAAACTACCAACCAAAAAAAAGTCCTGCTTCTGTTTTCTTAGTCACCCAATCTTGAAAACTAATAGCAATACTGTCAACATAAAGAAAGAAATTGAGGCTAAGGTAATAATAAACAGTTTATTTGAGTGAATATTGAGGGCTGAAGCCCAGAAACACTTCCAAGTTACCTTGGGAAGTGCTCAAGAGAACAAAGGAGAGGCTCAAGTCTTTAAAGAAAAAAGGATGAATCTGAATAGTTGCAATTACAAAAGTTATTTGTAAGGAATTCTAATTGATTTACAGAAATAACATTGATGAGCTATTGACTATCATTACTGAATGACCATAGAGTGTTAGGTTAATTATAGAGTTGTTTGTATATCTTTTGAGTAATCTGTTAAAAAGGGAGTAAGGGAAGAGGGAGAAAGAGAAACAGATTCTGTTGGTCTCATGCTATCTTTCTTAGGTCTTTTGATTGTTTGGAAAACTGAGTGTCTTTTACTATCTTATGAATAATATATAAACATCGTGTTCAAAAGAAAAAACGGAATGGTACTTTGCATCAGTGTATTATAAATAGTAAACCTAATTTTAATGGAAGCTTCTAAAGAGATCCATCAAACCTCAACTAGCTTTGACTACACAAGATTTCTGTAAACATTTTTTAAGCTTTCACAATTTTTATTCTTTTTTCCCAACGTTCTATATCCATTCAGTTAATCCATCTCATTCTTTTTCCTTTTATTCTCTCAGTTTAATCCATTCTTTAAATAACCTCTAAACTAGGCAAAGTCACTGTTGCAAAAACAAACAAACAAACAAACAAAACACACACCCATATATTTTCCCTAACCTTTCTTACCCCTAATATATCTCACTTTTTAAATACATTTTGAATATAGAATTGTTTTCCATTATCTAGCCTTAGTTACCATATACCAGTCTAAAGTTATAAATTGAATGTACTGTAACTGAGTATGCCATTTTCTTAAAAGTTATCTTTTTTTTTTTTTAAATACTATGCAGCCATAAAAAATGATGAGTTCATGTCCTTTGTAGGGACATGGATGAAGCTGGAAACCATCATTCTCAGCAAAGTATCGCAAGGACAAAAGTTATCTTTACTTCTCTCTTCTTCCTTGTGTTCACCTCTCACTTAGCATCTCAGGAATGCAAACGTAACCTTTACCTTCCTTTCCTCTGGCCAGAGTGCCTACAAGCATTGTTAGCTGTATGTTTGCTTAGAAGATCCAGGGACCAAGTCTTGAAACAAACCAAGCACCCTCCAGAATTCTCCCCCACCAGGAAACTACAGGCCGAATCTGTCTGCAGTGGTGCCAGCCCGACTACCAGATGACCTATTAATTGAGATGAGTCCCCAAGAAAGTCACATAAACCACCACCTCCATGCCTCTTCTGCATACCCTGCATACCAAAATTTCTCTTCTTAAAACCCTGCTTTCTGCCCACAAAGCTGAAGTGGGTCATTTACATATGAATCTAGCCCTTTCCCATTGCTAAGCTTGGGAATTAAGCACTTTCTTTTTACCGCCCTCGTGCTTGTTATTTGATTTTGCAAGTGGAGAGTGGGCAAACCTGTGTTCAGCAACAATGTCTCTTGAGGCCTTCCAAGGAAAGATGAGATTTATCTTAAATATACAAAGCCTTCTGTCCCCACTTCCTCTTAATCAATGAAATTTGTTATTTTATTCCTTTTGTTGATTGTATATTTACCATTGTAATATACATCGAATTTGAGAAGGACTTTTAGTTGTTACTTTCTGTTTTAACAACCCTTGGCTTTCTCCCCCATTGTAGCCTACTCCTGTTTTATCTTGGGCTACTTCTTTTTATTGCTTTCCTTTTCATGACTACTGACCCTCACATTCTTTCTGTTTTGCAGAAATTTGTAGAAATTTTTCACTGAGTGTTTTTTCTTTTATCTTTTTTTTCTGCTCTTTTATAGTTTTTTCTTTTTTATATCATTTTATTGGTGCTTTGGAGAGAAGAGGAGAAACTTAAACTCAAACATGTTAAAAGAAAAGCAATTCAGCCTAACCAACATGGTGAAACCCAATCTCTACTAAAAATACAAAAATTAGCTTGGCGTGGTGCATAATCCTAGCTACTCAGGAGGCTGAGGCCCGCGAATCACTTGAACCCGGTGTTACCGGGGGATCCTTGTTTTTAGAGCGCCCAAGATGGTGGCAGTCACTTCCAAGATGGTGGCAAGCCTCTTGTTCTCTGACCTGGGGTTCTTGGCCTCACGGATTCCAAGAAATGGCATCTTAGGCCGTGCGTGAGTGTCATAGCTCTATTAGAAGCTGTGGGTCATGGAAGAGAACCGTTGAACCCAGCGACTAGTGTTCGGCTCGATTAGGACGAACCTGGGCACTTAGCTGTGCAGGAACAATGGCAAAACTTTAGCCCAATCGGGAGTGGCAATGGGCGCCTAGCTGGATCAGAAGCACAGCTGACACCCTGCCAGATCCAGAAGGGTGGAAGTCAGCGGCGGATCTGCAACGGGCAAACAGCAGTGGTGGACAGCAAGCGGAAGCTCAGCTCAGCTCCAGCCCTGAGAAAGACCAGAAGACTGTGCAGCAGCAAGATTTAATAGAGTGAAAACGGAGCTCCCACAAAATGGGAGGGGACCCAAAAGGGGTTGCCGTCACCGGCTGGAATGCCTAGGTTTATATCCCGATCATTGTCCCTCCCCCTGGGCTCTCAGGCGATAGATGATTGGCTATTTCTTCACCTTCTGTTTTAGCCTAATTAGCATCTTAGTGAGCTTTCTTTACTACCTGATTGGGCAGGTGTGAGCTAAGTTGCAAGCCCTGTGTTTAAAGGTGGATGCGTCACCTTCCCAGCTAGGCTTAGGGATTCTTAGTCGGCCTAGGAAATCCAGCTAGTCCTGTCTCTCACTGGGAGAGGAAGGTTGTAGTGAGCCGAGATAGCGCCACTGCACTCCAGCCTGAGCGACAGAGCAAGACTCCGTCGCAAATAAAAAAAGGAAAAAAAAAAAAAGAAAAGAAGCAATTGTATTAACTGTCTTATGTACTTTTTTGCATCTTAAATATTCTATAATACCTTTTTTTCATATTTTGCGATTATTAAAAGTCAAGTTCCCAAGAAAATAGATTCTCCAATAGGGATTAGTGTGCATCAAGTTTATTAGGAAGTTGTAATATAATAAGAAATATATTTGATCTCTGCCCCCATGACCCAGCATACAGCTTCTAAAACTCTTGCAATCTTTGAGATGATGTGTCTTTTGTATGCTAGTGAGAGGACTGGTGCTGGGGGGCAGTTACTGGATAGCATTAGCATAGGGGCTGGTTGCCAGGGGAACCAACTAAGTGATTGTGACTTTCAGTCCCTACCTTGATATTCTGGGAGAAAAGAGGGATTGGAGGTTGAGTCAGTCACTAATGGCCAATGATTGAGTCAGTCATGTGTATGTAATAAGGCCTCCATAAAAACCGAAGAGGATGGGGTTTGCAGAGCTTCTAGGCTGGTGAGCACTTGGATGTGCTGGAGGCATCCAGAGGGTGGAGCACGTGGAGAGGGCATGAATGCTCAGTGCACCTTCCCTCATACCTTGCCTTATACAGCGTTTCCATCTGGCTGCTGTTGAGTTTTATTCTTTATAACAATATGCTAACCCTAAGCAAAGTTTTCCTGAGTTCTGTGAGCCATTCTAGCAAATGGTGGAACCTGAGAAAGGGGACATGGGAATCTCTGACTTACAGCCAGTCAGCCCGAAGCACAGGTAACAAATTGGACTTGTTATTGGTATCTGACATAGGGGAAGTCTTGTGGATCTGACCTCTTAATCTGTGGGATTTTACGCTCTCTCCAGGTAGACAGTGTCCGAATTGAGCTAAATTGTAGGGCATTCAGTTTGTGTCTGCAAAGAATTGGGGAATTGCTTGGTGTGGGAAAACGAAAATTAACATTTGATGTCAGAAGTGAGAATAGCCGAGAGTATAGTGTAAAAACAGTGTGTTTTCCTTATTCAGAGATATGCCCAGATAAATGCCTGTGGGGGCAGGGAAGTGAGTAGGATGGGACGGAGGCAGGAGTTCAGCTGTGATACTTGATGCATTCACAACACCTGAGGTAACTCATCAGCATCATCCTTAACTGAGGAAGGGAGCCAGTCCTCCCAACAAATGGAAACTGAATTTTCATTCCTGAGGGTGAGCCCGACTCTCTCAGCACAATGTCAACTACACACAAAATCCAAAGTCTAGATTTGGAAATGAAAACTATGTGGCACATATACACTATGCAATACTATGCAGCCATAAAAAAAGATGAGTTCATGTCCTTTGCAGAGACATGGCTGAAGCTGGAAACCATCATTCTCAGCAAACTAACACAAGAACAGAAAACCAAACACCATATGTTCTCACTCATAAGTGGGAGTTGAACAATGAGAATACATGGACACAGGGAGGGAAACATCACACACTGGGGGCTGTTGGGGGATGGGAGGCTAGGGGAGGGATAGCATTAGGAGAAATACCTAATGTAGAAGATGGGTTGATGGGTGCAGCAAACCACCATGGCCCATGTATACCTATGTAACAAAACTGCATGTTCTGCACATGTAGCCCAGAACTTAAAGCATAAAAAAGAATGTAAATGAAAAAATAAAAATAAAAAAAGGAAACTATGCCCTGTCTATCCCTATTATGTTTATATTGTTTTATCTTCTACAACTGCCTAGTATGAATCCAAGTATCCCAGTATTAGTCCATTCTCACACTGCTATTAAAAAATACCTGAGACTGGGTAATTCATAAAGAAAAGAGGTTTAATGGACTCAGAGTTCCACAAACTCTACAGGAAGCTTGACGGCTTCTGGGGAAGCCTCAGGAAACCTTCAGTTATGGCAGAAGGGGAAGCGGCGTGTTTACATGGCCAGGGCAGGAGAAAGAGAGAGAGAAGGATGGTGCTGTAAACTTCTAAACAACCAGATCTCATGAGAACTCTATCACCAGAACAGCATCAAAGGGGAAAACTCACTGCTATGATCCACTCACCTCTCACCTCCCACCAACGCCCACTTCCAACATCGGGGATTAAAATTTGTAAACCAAATAAAATCCTAACCACCCCCTGCCCACCCACAATCACCTAAATGGACTTTCTCCTCAGCCAGGGCTCTTAAAATTTAACCTGAAAGACTGGTTCAGGCCATGAAGGGAAGTGGGGGTCAGACATGCTTCATTATACATCTCCAGCATCAGCATCAACACAGACTTTAAGTCTGTTAAGAAACATTTTACAGCCTGTTTTCCTCTGAAGCCTGTTAGCTAAAAGCTTCATCTGCATGATAAAACTTTGGTCTCCACAACTGTTATCACAACCCAAATATTCCTTTCTACTGATCCCAGGTCTTTAGACAAACTCAACCAATTGTCAACCAGAAAATGTTTAAATTTACCTGTAGCCTGGAAGCCCCCACTTTGAATTGCACCAGCTTTCTGGATTAAGCCAACGTATTTCTTAAATATACTTGGCTGATGTCTCATGCCTCCCTTAAATGTATAAAACCAAGCTGCACCGAAACCACCTTGGACACATGTTGTCAGGACTTCCTGAGCCTGCATCATGGGTGCGTGTCCTAAACCTTGGCAAAATAAACTTTCTAAATTAGCTGAGACCTGTCTCAGATTTTCTGGGTTCACCTTTTTGGTAACCACAGAGGGATTCTGAGTGAAGATGACTCTGACCTTTGACAAATCTTCTATTGGTGCTTGGTACCAGCATGAGATTTTATGGCTCACACCAATAGGACAATTTGCTGAGATCTGAGAACACCCCTCCAGAAAATCTCTGATCTTCCAACATTTTATCAATATCTAAAGTTTATTTTGCTGTACAACCCCTCTTTTTTGGGAGTTTTACTTGCTTCCAATGAGGAATGCAAGCTTTCCTGCTTCCATAGTGATGGAAGGCCGGTAACTCCTTTATGGAGTTTGAGCTCACTTCCAACAGGAAAGATTAGTGTTTTGTTTTGTTTCCTGCTTCTAAGATGGTAGAGAGCAGTCTATAGCCTGAGATGCAACATTAGGTAAGAAACTGATTTGGGATTCTGTCTTGCAAATTCTTCTTAAATGACTAAAGTTAGCATTAACAACCACCTGGCATTAATTTCTGCTTACTCTTAGAGCACTCAGAAATCTTGTAATTTGTGTGATCATTCTTAGTTTTGCTTAACTGTTTTGTTGTTTGTTTCTGTCTTGTTGGATTTTGTGTGTGTGTGTATGTGTGTGTGTTTTGGTCCTTTCCCTTATCGGATTTGACCAACTCATAACCCTCTAGCTCATGAGTGTGGAATCTTCTACTCCAAATAAATAAGAGCACCGCACTTGCCTCATCCTTTTGGGGCATTCTCAGGCAACTGAGAATCACATGAGGGTGTTTGGGAGGAACACTCCCTGAGATATGCAGTGGCTCTAAATAGATTTCCCCCTAAAAAGAATGTACTTAGGGCTGGCAGGTGTATATAAGGAGATGACCCCTCCCGGACCTTGAGCCCCTGACACACTGTGCCACGTAGCCACAACACAGGTGGTCTGAATCGGTTCATGGAGTAATGGCCCTGAAAAGCTAGGTCTGCAAGTGGCACATTTTGAGTCCGACGCATGTCCCAGCTTGGTCAAATCTGAAGGGGAATGCCAAATCACGGGGAACAAGACTGCTGAAATGGCTAAAAACTCACACACACACAAAAGGGTGGTATGGTTAGGAGAGGAAAATGGCCAGCAAAAGGAAAAAAAAAAAAAAAAGGGAAGATTTTTTATTTTGACTACTAAAGGGGCTTTATTTATATAACAAGACCACCTTTTTGCCAGCCAGACCAACCTGAAAGAGCAATGGCTGTACTTCTGAAATAGCAGCATTTTGTCCTAGCCGAAATAAGGTAATAAGAGATTTTAAAATATTTATTTAAAAGGAACTCAATGGTTAAAAGTCAGCTTAATTAAAAGGCTAACATCCATGATGTGTGCATATATGTGTGCATGTTTGTATTTGTATTTTAAAAGCTTTCATGTTTTCGTTTTTTTCTTCTTGTTGTTTATCTCTTCTAAGACCTTGTCTTTTTTTGGGGGGAAAAAGTGTTTTTTTCTTCTTAGTTGACTGAATTCTGTTTTTGCCTGATTTTAGCATCTCTCTCTCTAGCACTACCAGACTTTTTCTCTCTGTACCTTATGATTTACTTATGCTATTTGATTTTCACTTAAGTTGTTTCCTTTATTATGCAAATATAAGTCATTATCTGACGACTGCCTAGGGTTGTCAGCAGGTTATCAAGAATCTGAAAGTCTAAGACAGGAAAAAAAAAAGTGGGGGGGTTCTTTATGAATCAATAAAAGGTACTTCCATTGGCATGCCTAATACGTCTATCTATTTATGTGTTGTGTACACAATGTTTCACTCCTAAAAATATATAAAAGAGCTCTAATTAATTGGCTTAAAAAATACAAGTGCTTAAATCAGATACTTTAAAACAAGACTAGTCAAATGCTTTTTGTTCACGTGACTTAAGTAAACTCTTTAATAAATAAGGTGTCTTTAAAAGTATTGATAAAATGATATTAGCAATGTCTTATGAATTGTTAGTATTTTTTTTATCAAATGATTTCGGGTTTATTCCTGCAGAATACTATAAGATTTGCCATAAGGGTTATAAAACTATAAAACCCAGCCCAAGACAGAGTTATCTTTGCTTGTGTATGCTTATGAAATATTGTTGGCTTAATGAAAACAGCTAAATCCTGAGTTATTGGAATAAGTACCCTTTAATGAAACCATATGTTTTATTACTTAAGTAAATACCAGAAATTCACAGATATAAAAAATTGCTAATAGGCAAATAACTTTAAATATTGGCTATCACAGTTTTTGTAAATAATCTAGTTAAACTATTAAATAAATTAATCACGTAAATAATGGAATAAATACGTGTACACTAACATCACGATTTAAGATCTAAGGTCATTAATTGATATTAAGTACCTGGGTCATTTCCAATTTTAAACATTGTTTAAATTTCTCATTAAAAGGTAAATATCTTTGTCTAATTCAAAGCTTATTTAAGGGATATATATAAAACAAGGTAAAGAAATCAGGAAATGAGACACAAAGCTAAAGATACAAAGAGGTATTTTTTGGTAAAGAAGGTAAAAAGGAAAGGAATTTTATGTAAGAAATAATGTTGTGTGGTGGATTTTTACCCTAAAATAAAATGACTGGTTTGTTCAAGAAAAGGGGATATTTGGGGAAAAACAGAAAGTTTAAGCACGTTGTGAATGGTCTATGTAGGTCATAATAAGATTAATAAAAGTAATTTTTAAAGAGATTTTATAATTCAGTTGGCTGTGATTAAAAAGAAATTATAATAGTCTTTCTAGAGATGAGTGTTGATATTTAAAAATGCACTAATACAAAACTAAATAATTGTTTAAAACAAGTTTTATTACAAATATTAACTTATTTTTAATATGAAAAATTGTTAAATTTTAATATCTGCCTCTTTAACATTCTTCAGATTGATATCTTAAAAGTACCACTTTTATTCTTTTGAAAAGACCTTGAATGATGGCTCTCTCCTTCACCTTTTGTTGGCTTCTGTAACTTTTACTAACTATCTAAAGTAAGGGAGAAAAAATTTTTTTTGAATACAGGCAAGTAAAGTATCTTTTGGACATATATTTTACTCTGAGTGCCTGTTATATCCCTATCTTTATTTGTGTCGTGTGGAACTCATATATCACTACCAAACCACAGGAAAGAGCTCTAATCAAGTAACTTAGAAAATGTAAATGCTTATCAGATTGGTAGAAACTAACCCAGCTGACTTTCAATTCACATGACCTTGGTAATCTTTGGTAAAAGTAGTTTAGTAAATTTAATCTCAATAACCTCCAGTAATTTAAAATCTTAAAGTCACGTTAAACCCTCGAGTTTCCCCCTTGCCACTGGAAATTTGGGTTACTAAAAAGTTAAAAAAGTAGGAGATAAAATATGCTTTTGGTAAAATTGTATAAAACACAAAGATGTCAATATTCAAAAATGCAGGTTTCCTTTTGCTTAAGAAACTATTATGAGGAGTTGCTTTATAATGAAGAAAAGTATACAAATAAAACTAACTGAATTGGGGAAAAAAAAAAAAGAAAAAAACAAGCCAGGGCAATGGAAGTTTACTCTGAACACTGTGGTTCCCAAGAAAATAGTTGATATGGAGGAAGGGTAAAACAAGTAACTATGTAAAACCAGAGGGTATAATGTTAAAAATAAATAAATAAATAAATAAATAAATAAATAATTACATACATTGATATCATTCAGCTTCTTAATTTTAAATGGTACAGAATTTAAGAGCTGGTTTGGATTAATGCAGGACCCACAGCTCACTACTGAACAATCACTGATGAGTATATGTGATCCAAATGCACAGGGGATTATTCCTGAAAAAGCAAGCAGCCTAATGGGCTGGATAAATGCCAATGTAAGGTCTGTTTGCTTTGAGAAGGGGACTACCCAACTCTCCCTATAAAATACTAAGGGAAGCACCCCAGATGAAGCAGTTAATATGCTTCATGTGCAAGCCATGTTGGACTAGCTTTATGGTAACTGAAACACCCTCCCACCAAATATGTCTATTACCCAAGTCGTGGTGAATTTGAGGGTTAAGGGGTCCCTTTTTCATGGGTGCCCGTCCCATAGAATCACAGGACTGTTTAAGAAGCCTTATCAAATTTGCTGTCCCTCATAGGTCTAACAGATGCAACTCCCTGCTGGGAACCCAAATCCTTTTATTTTTTTTTTTCACCAGAAAAGGTAAAATAGTTATCTGAAGATGTTATATATATATAATCTGGGACCCAGAACGTAAAAACATAAAGGTTGATAAAATTATGAAATTTAAGATGTTTAAACAAGCTTTATGTAAGGTAGTTGTAACCCCTTTATGAAAAGTCTTACGAAAATGGGTACTATATCTAACTGGGAGATGTTTCCTAAACTGAAGACATATAAATTTGTTCTTTTAAGAAATGTTAATTGCACATGCTAAATGGGAACTAGTAAATTGCCTGAGCCCACAAAATACAGGGTAAAAGTTCGACTGCTAGTTGGGACAAATCTCCACTGCATAGCCCTTTATGTGGAGCTTTTTTCAGGGCTGATACCAAACATTATGAGTACTTTTCAATAACGACTGAACTAGAGAATTTCTGCTTAGGGCATTTACTGCCTTGCTATGGAACACTAACTGAAGCTACCCCTATGCTAATGGAAACAAAGTTTCTCAAAAGAGTTCCATGATAAAATAAAAATGGTTTACATAAAATCTTGCTACCTAATAAGCAGGAGACTCTTTCCAAAGACTAATTATGAGGAGCTGCTAAATTCCACAGTGCCTAATAGGCACTTCTCGTGAGCTGCTTGGTTTGTAAATGGAATTTCCAAGGTAAATCAACGTCTTGTTTTAAAAGCTGCTGCTCTAGTTAAAGAAGGGTCAAAAAATATTTTGCTTTTAAGTTATTTGGGTAACATATGTTTTTATAAGCAAGTTTACCTTTTTGTCTAAGTTCTAAAATTCAATTTGTAATTTTATGACAATATAGTTATCTGCATAAATTCAATGAGAGTATTTTGAAACAACTGGAGACACCAGTTATTTTTCTAAGACTTTAACTAAACTAGCGTATTTGTAGGTAAAGTTCAGGCAAGGCCAACTTAAAAAAGCCTCCATGGCCAATCAATTCTTGCTGCATTCTATGCAAAATAATCAGACTGAATTTAATAAGCCTAAAACTTATTTTGTACACAAAATGGTCCTGCTATAATATCTCTTTAATTAAAAAAAAGCTCAATAAATTGTTTCGAGGGAAAAGCATAACACCTAATGCTAAATCTCAGCCCCAACTTTTTTTTTTTGAGTGCAGAATAAATCATTATTTATTGGCTACAGTAATTCTCCAGAGAGTACCAGATTATAATTTTTCTTCATATTTTTAGTTGGTGCCCTAATGGAATAGTTTATTTTCCTGTTCTGACATACAAATTAGTCTTATAATTGTCAAATTATAAATGTTATTTATCTCTCCTTGTTTGACTTTCCAGGATACCAAAATCATCATACCAGAGACATGAATCTCCCTCATTTGGCATCCCAGGAGGCCTGGATCAGTTTCACTGTGAATGCTCCGCCGCTCAACCACACAAGCACCCTTCCTCCAGGCCCAGGGGATACTGCAGAAGAGGTGGGTGCATAAGATTATAAGGGCCAGTTTTGAGGGATAAAATTAGGTCAAGATCAAACCCTCCAAATCAAGAAGGGGTACAAATATGCCTAAACAACTAGTAAAACAAGTTTAGTTGCCTTCTAAACAATTATGTATCAACTTTGCATCCACCCCAACCACAGAGAATTTCCTGCTTACTATAGAATTAAAGAAAAACATTTCTTTACAGGGTAAAAATACCTTGTAACAAAGCTTCCTGGGTATAATATTCTACTTATAAGTTAAGAAGATAAATATATATATATTTTTTAATTATTTTCAGAACAATGCTTATTTTGTATATAGATAATTGCCATAAGTCTGTACCAAAAACCAAGTTTACAGTAACTCAACACATAGAGGTTAGAAATAAGTCAGTCTCATAATTTTGCCTTTTGGTTTTGTTTGTTGGCTTTTTACTTAAAATAACAATATTTTATATTACACTTTAAGTTCTGGGATATATGTGTAGAACGTGCAGGTTTGTTACACAGGTATACACGTGCCATGGTGGTTTGCTGCACCCATCAACTCATAATCTATATTAGGTGTTTCTCCTAATGCAATCCCTCCCTTAGTCCCCCCACCCCACAACAGGCCCCAGTGTGTGATGTTCCCCTCCATGTGTCCATGTGTTCTCATTTTTCATCTCCCACTTATGAGTGAGAACACATGGTGTTTCGTTTTGTGTTCCTGTGTTAGCTTGCTGAGAATGATGGTTTTCATCTTCATCTATGTCTCTGCAAAGGACATGAACTCATCCTTTTATATGGCTGCATAGTATTCCATGGTGTATATGTGCCACATTTTCTTAATCCAGTCTATCATTGATGGGCATTTGGGTTGGTTCCTAGTCTTTGATATTGTGAATAATGCTGCAATAAACATATGTGCGCATATATCTTTATGGTAGAATGATTTACAATCCTTTGGGTGTATACCCAGTAATGGGATTGCTGGGTCAAATGGTATTTCTGGTTCCAGATCCTTGAGGAATCGCCATACTCTCTTCCACAATGGTTGAACTAATTTACACTCCCAATATCAGTGTAAAAGTGTTCCTATTTCTCCACATCCTCTCCAGCATCTGTTGTTCCCTGACTTTTTAATGATCACCATTCTAACTAGTGTGAGATAGAGTATCTCTTTGTGGTTTTGATTTGTGTTTCTGTAATGACCAGTGATGATGAGCTTTTTTTCATGTTTGTTGGCCGCATGAATGTCTTCTTTTGAGAAGTGTCTGTTCGTGTCCTTTGCCCACTTTTTTATGGGGTTGTTTATTTCTTGTAAATTTGTTTTAGTTCCTTGTAGATTCTGAATATGAGCCCTTTGTCAGATGGATAGATTGCAAAAATTTTCTCCCATTCTGTAGGTTGCCTGTTTACTCTGATCATAGTTTCTTTTGCTGTGCAGAAGCTCTTTATTTTAATTAGATCCCATTTGTCAAATTTGACTTTTGTTGCCATTGCTTTTGGTGTTTTAGTTTTGAAGTCTTTGCCAATGTCTATGTCCTGAATGGTATTGCCTAGGTTTTCTTCTAGAGTTTTTTATGGTTTTAGGTCTTACGTTTAAGTCTTTAATCTATCTTGAGTTAATTTTTGTATAAGGTGTTAGGAAGGGGTCCAGTTTGAGTTTTCTGCATATGGCTACCCAGTTTTCCCAACACAATTTATTAAATATGGAAACCTTTCCCCATTGCTTGTTTTTGTCAAGTTTGTCAAGGAACAAATGGTTGTAGATGTGTGGCATTATTTTTGAGGCCTCTGTTCTGTTCCATTGGTACCAGTACCATGCTGTTTTGGTTACTGTAGCCTTGTAGTATAGTTTGAAGTCAGGTAGCATGCTGTCTCGAGCTTTGTTCTTTTTGCTTAGGATTGTCTTGGCTATACAAGCTCTTTTCTTGGTTCCATATGAAATTTAAAGTAGTTTTTTCTAATTCTGTGAAGAAAGTCAATGATAGCTTGATGGGGATAGCATTGAATCTATAAATTACTTTGGGCAGTATGACCATTTTCACCATATTGATTCTTCCTATGCATGAGCATGGAATGTTTTTCCATTTGTTTGTGTACCTCTCCTTGAGCAGTGGTTTGTAGTTCACCTTAAAGAGGTCCTTCACATACTTGTAAGTTGTATTCCCAGGTAATCTATTCTCTGTTTGTCTGTTATTAGTGTATAGGAATGCTTGTGATTTTTGCACATTGATTTTGTATCCTGAGACTGCTAAAGTTGCTTATCAGCTTAAGGAGATTTTGGGCTGAGATGATGGGGTTTTCTAAATAGACAATCATGTCATCTGCAGACAGAGACAATTTGACTTCCTCTCTTCCTATTGAACACGCTTTATTTCTTTGTCTTGCCTAATTTCCCTGGCCAGAACTTGCAATACTATGTTGAATAGGAGTGGTGAGAGAGGGCATCCTTGTCTTATGCCGGTTTTCAAAGGTTTTCCAGTTTTTGCCCATTCAGTATGATATTGGCTGTGGGTTTGTCATAAATAGTTATTATTTTGAGATACGTTCTGTCAATACCTAGTTTATTGAGAGTTTTTAGCATGAAGGGGTGTTGAATTTTATTGAAAACCTTTACTGCTTCTATTGAGATAATCATGTGGTTTTTGACATTGGTTCTGTTTATGTGATGGATTGCATTTATTGATTTGCATATGCTGAACTAGCCTTGCATCCCAGGGATGAAGCTGACTTGATCGTGGTGGATAAGCTTTTTAATGTGCTGCTGGATTTGGTTTGCCAGTATTTTATTGAGGATTTTCACATCAATGTTCATCAGGGATATTGGCCTGAAATTTTCTTTTTTTATTGTGTCTTTGCCAGGTTTTGGTATCAGGATGATGCTGCCCTCATAAAATGTGTTAGGGAGGAGTCCCTCTTTATTTTATTGTTATTGTTTCAAAAGGAATGGTACTAGCACCTCTTTGTACCTCTGCTAGAATTAGGCTGTGAGTCCATCTGGCCCTGGGCTTTTTTTGGTTGGTAGGCTATTAATTATTGCCTCAATTTCAGAATTTGTTATTGGTCTATTCAAGGATTCAACTTCTTCCTGGTTCAGTCTTGAGAGTGTGTATGTGTCCAGGAATTTATCCATTTCTTCTAGATTTTCTAGTTTATTTGCCTAGAGGTGTTTATAGTATTCACTGATAGTAGTTTCTATTCCTGTGGGATCAGTGGTGATATCCCCTTTATCATTTTTATTGTGTCTATTTGATTCTTCTCTCTTTTCTTCTTTATTCATCTGGCTAGCAGTCTATCTATTTTGTTAATCTTTTCAAAAAACCAGCTCCTGGATTCATTGATTTTTTGAAGGGATTTTTGTGTCTCTATCTCCTTCAGTTCTGCTCCGATCCTACTTCTTTCTTCTCTTCTGCTAGGTTTTGAATTTGTTTACTTTTGCTTCTTGAATTCTTTTAATTGTGATGTTAGGGTGCTGATTTTAGAACTTTCCCACTTTCTCCTATGGGCATTTAGTGCTATAAATTTCCCTCTAAACACTGCTTTAGCTGTGTCCCAGAGATTCGGGTATGTTGTGTCTTCCCAAAGGCTTTGTTTACCCTGTGAGGGGAAAACCACCTACTCAAGCCTCAGTAATGGCAAGTGCCCCTCCCCACACCAAGCCCTAGCATCCCAGGTCGACTTCAGACTGGTGCGCTGGCAGCGAGAATTTCAAGCTAGTGGATCTTAGCTTACTGGGCTCTGGAGGGGTGGACTCCACTGAGCTAGACCACTTGGCTCCCTGGCTTCAGCCGCCTTTCCAAGTGAGTAACAGTTCTCTCTTGCTGGCATCCCAGGTGCCACTGGTGTATGAAAAAACAAAAAATAAAAAAATAAAAAGCTCCTGCAGCTAGCTTGGTGTCTGCCCAAATAGCCACCCAGTTTTGTGCTTGAAACCCAAGGCCCTGGTGGCATAGGCACCCTAGAGAATCTCCTGGTCTGTAGGTTAGAAAGACCATGGGGAAAGTGTAGTATCTGGGCCAGAATGCACTGTTCCTCACGGCACAGTCCCTCACGGCACAGTCCCTCACTACTTCCCTTGGCTATGGGAGGGAGATCCCCAACCCCTTCAGCTTCCCAGGTGAGGCGATGGCCACACTGCTTCAGCTTGCCCACCGTGGGCTGCACTCACTGTCTAACGAGTCCCAATGAGATGAGCTGGGTATCTCAGTTGGGAATGCAGAAATCACCTGCCTTCTGCATTGCTCTTGCTGGGAGCTGCAGACCAGAGCTGTTCCAATTTGGCCATCTTGATAGCCACCTCCTAAAATAACAATTTTAAGAGGTAAATGAATGCCTGTCCACATCCAGTTGTATCTGACCTACAACAATTAATTGGCTATAAGTCTTTTGATTCTTAAAGCCCTCAGCCATAGGGAGTCCCACCAAGGGACAACGTGGACCCAGAGTAGGCAGTCATGCCACTCTGCCAATGCTATGGGACAGTATAAGTATTGCTGGCCTTTGATGCTGCCTCTGGCAAATCTTGGCCAGAAGAAGGAGAATTTAAACCAAGATAAATTCTAAGGCACCCCTCCAAAAAAAAATTATCTAAAAGGACTACCTTCTCAGCCAGGGCTCTTAAAATTTAACCTGAAAGACTGGTTCAGGCCATGAAGGGAAGCGGGGGTCAGACATGCCTTATTAAACCTCTCCGTCATTCACATCAACACAGACATTAAGTCTGATAAGAAACATTTTACAGCCTGTTTCTCTCTGAAGCCTGCTAGCTTCAAGCTTCATCTGCATGATAAAACTTTGGTCTGCACAACCTCTTATTTCAACCCAAATATTCCTTTCTGTTGATCCCAGTTCTCTAGATACACTCCTCAACCAATTGTCAACCAGAAAATGTTTAAATTTACCTGTAGCCTGGAAGCCCCCACTTTGACTTGTTCTGCCTTTCTGGATCAAACCAATGTATTTCTTAAATGTACTTGATTGATATCTCATGCCTCCCTAAAATGTATAAAACCAAGCTGCACCCCGGCTACCTTGGGCACATGTTGTCAGGATTTCCTGCAGCTAGTCATGGGTGCATGTTCTCAACCTTGGCAAAATAAACTTTCTAAATTAGCTGAGACCTCTCTCAGATTTTCTAGGTTCACAAATTCAACATGAGTTTTGGATGGGGACACAGATCCAAACCATATCACCTAGAAAAACTAAATACACTCCACTGTTGCATAAACCCCTTCTTTTTCACGCCTTTGTTGTCTTCTTAGCTCAGTTTGAATATCACTTTCTATACAACGAAAATTCCAATGAAACAAGTGAAAATGACATTTCTTGTCTCTGAATTCTTTGAGAATGTTTTAATATAACCCCATATATTTATGGCACTTTCCTCTACTAGAATTATTATAAGTAAATCTTATCTCATTATGAGACTGTGACTTAAGATGCTTTTATTAAAGTAATAGCTGAATGATATTTAAATGAAAAAAATGTTGAAAAGAGAATTAAACATTGAGATATGTAGATAAGGCTGCAGGAAAGGAGATTAGATTTGAATTGGGTTTTGCAGTCTCAGTGAGTAAGCACGGCTTTCCTCCTCCCCTAGGAATCTTCCAGTTATATGAAAACTTGCTATTTTGTGTTTTTTGTAATTATGGGACTCAGGTCCCTTGCTCCAATATGTGATTGCTGTGTGACTTTTGTTGCGTTATTTACCTTTCTGAGTACCAGTTTTCTGGTCTTGAAATAATAATTATTATAGATATGTAAAAGGATTAAATGAGACAAACTTTCAAAGTTGCTATTTTCTAATAGTTACTGGTGGACTCCACTTCTACATCAAAAGTGTATCTTCAAGATTAGATTATTAAAGAAACCATGAATGTTATAAAAATTGCATTTGAGTCATTCATGATCTTCATTGTCCATATTTAATGCAGTCTACAAAAATAAACTTAAGAGAGAATGGCAGCACATAACTTGCATCCCATTTATCATTTCAGTCAGTAGTGGCTGCCTGATACAGCAGGAAGAGAAAGGTTATTGTGAATTAGCAACATCTGCCATTGTCACAGGGTGGGGACCTAGTAGTATGCCTGATATTTGCTATTTCTCAGAAGAAATGCTACCTACAAATGTGTCTTGCTAAAAATACAATAATGATAACAACAATAATATGATAATAGGAAGATCTAGTTGACACATAATACTTTATGCACTGATAAACACCATGATAAGTTTTAAGTTAAGGACTTTATATGCACTGTCTGACACATTTACTTTTCACTATTAGTTAGGAACTACTACACTCATTTCTCCATGAGATATGTGAAGTTTAGAGAGTTTAGGCAGTTACCAAAGTCATAAAACTAGTAAAGTTTAATCCTAGGTTTGTTTTGCAACATGCAGCACATCACCTGCCAGATAACAGCATACATACACCTAAATGGTGTTTTATGGTTTTTAAAGTACTTTCCTATACCTCACCACATTTACCATTTCAAAGTCCTGTAACAGGCTTGCAGTTGATAGGACAGATGATACAACTCATCCGACATGTCACAGGGAGACCAAAGGCTTTCCTTAAATTGATATTCATATGCCTGAGCTAGAAGCAACCTAATACAATAAAAAGAGTCAGAAGTCAGACACATTATTAACTTACTTGCTCATTCATCTCCCACGTAAATACGCATCAAATGTCTTCTATGTCACAGGCACTGAGTTTTAATTTGTCTTTTGCTTCTTTTCACCTGCAGGGCATTGAGCAGTTTACTGCATCATGATTTTTTAATATAGGGGGAAAGGACACCTATTCAGATGGATCCACAGTCAATCCTAATCTGGATTCATCAGTTAGAAAAATAACCCATTCACACAGTTCTGGTTACCCTTTTAATCGCCTGTTAACTTTAAAATTGTTGGTTAAAACAAATATTATTTAGTGCTTATTATTTGCCAGATGGTAATCTAAACATTTTTTAAAAATAGCTGATTTAAATTCCCTAATAACTCTATGATGTAGGTACCGTTGTTACCATCTCTTTTCTTTTTACAGTTTTAATCATTGAATCACAGAGAAGTGAAATGACTTACGCAAGATTACATACCTTAGAAGTGGAGGCACAATTATAACCCAAACACTCAGTTTTCAAATATGCTCTTACCACAATTTATAATGCATCATATTGTTGCTCTGAAGGTCAAATTAAACTAGATAATAAATGTAAAACACCTAACATAGATTCTGAGATATAGTAGATGTTCAGGAAATGCTTATATCCCTTTCTTGTGAGGCTACATTTTATGACTGTAAAGCTATGCCACACTGCTACCTCTAGAAATAGTTACAGAAATAAGAATAATTTGTCAGAGGGACTCTAAACAAAGAATTGCCTAATATCATAAAAACAGTGAAGAAGAAAATGTGGTTTCCTGTAAGAAAACAAGTCCCCTGTAGTCCTTTTACTTTTTTCCCTTTCTAGTCTGCATTTTTACAATATCAGCTCATTAAGCATCATTTCAGTGACTTGTGTTCATACACCATTTCAAATCTAGGTAGCTAATGAAACAATAAAGTATTTACATAGAAAGAAAAAGCAATATACATCCCCACTCTATATTGAAGTGTCTTGGAAATGGGGGAGACTACAATTTGACTATAAGCCTTTCCCTTGAAGTTAATTGACCGTTTATTCAGACTGCTTTTGAATTCAGAAGGTCCGCTGAGCATATATGCATATTACCATAGTCCTCATTCTTTGAAGGCCTGGCTAATTCACACCTCATTTGTTTATTTATTTTTGGAAATATAGATATGCTTATCATATACTTCCTTTACTACTGTTTGTCCAAAGTCTGTTTCCTTTAAGTTGTCATTTGTCAACTGGGAATTTGGCAATTGTAACGTTAATTCTAAGAGTTCTAGAATATTCTCAGACTGTTTCAGGGAGTAAACTACACGCACTAATCTCATAAAGAGGCCAGACCACTTCAGTGTAAGTCATTGTGAAGAGTTAAAGGATATCATGTAATCCATGAAAACTGAATCAAGACTGCTTAATTCTTTCATAACATATTTTGAAAGGACCATAATGTTTTATTTAAAAAAAAAATTCAACTTTTATTTTAGGTTCGGGGTATACATGCAGGTTTCATATGTGGGTATATCACAGAAAGCTGGGGTTTGGTACTAATGGTCCCATTATTCAGGTAGTGAGAATAGTAATTCAACCCTAGTCCCCCCCACCCTCCTTCCCCTATTAGTCCTCAGTGTCTGCTGTTTTCCTTATTTTACTTTATTTTATTATTTTTTGAAATAGAGTCTCACTCTGTCACATAGGCTGGAGTACGGTTGTAAGATTACATCTCATTACAGCCTCAATCCTCCCACCTCAGCCTCCTGAGTAGGTGGGACCACAGGCATACATCACCGTGCCTGGCTAATATTTTATTTTTATTTTTGTAGAGACAGTGTCTCTCTATGTTGCCCAGGCATGTCTTGAACTCCTGGGTTCAAGTGATCCTACCATCTTGGACTCCAAAATGTTGGGAGTGTGAGCCAACAGGCCCAGCCATGTTGTTCCCATCCTTATGTCCATATGAACTGAATGTTTAGCTTTCACTTATAAGTGAGAACATGTGGTATCTGGTTTTCTGTTCCTGTGGGAATTCAGTTGGGCTAATGGCCTCCGGCTGCATCCATCTTGTTACAAAGGATATGATTTTGTTCTTTTTTATGACTGCATAGTATTCCATCATGATTTTATCTACCAAAAAATAAATTAGAAATACCATTCAGCTTCATACAAGCTAAAAACTTTCCTTACTGTTGGAGAGCTGTTAGAAAAATATCCCTCCATTTTTCTTTCTTGATCAAATCAAATAAACACTTTGTTTCACTGGAAAGAGTAAAACAGAGTGGGGTAAATAGTGTGGAAGATTCCATCTGCCCCATCACTCAATTACTCTATAGCTTGCATATGAGAAAGGCATTCTAATAATTTGTTCCCTTAGTTGGCCTCATTTTATTTATATTTTGAACAGTGTAAACATTTCACCATGCTGCACAGGATTCCAGGTCTTAAAGATACTTCTGGATCCTGGTGTGGTGGCTCACACCTGTAGTCCCAGCACTTTGGGAGGCTGAAGCATGTGGATCAGTTGAGGTTAGGAGTTTGAGACCAGCCTGAGCAACATGGTGAAAACCCTAAAAATACAAAATTAGCTGGACATGGTGGTGCACACCTGTAATCCCAGCTATTTGGGAGGCTGAATCAGGAGAATCACTTGAACCTGGGAGGTGGAGATGGCAGTGAGCTGAGATCGCACCATTGCACTCC
This sequence comes from Homo sapiens, assembly GCF_000001405.40. Taxonomy (NCBI): domain Eukaryota; kingdom Metazoa; phylum Chordata; class Mammalia; order Primates; family Hominidae; genus Homo; species Homo sapiens. Next base: position 21,633,439 of record NC_000005.10, read on the forward strand.
AGCCTGGGCAACAAGAGTGAAACTCCATTTCAAAAGAATAAATAAATAAAATAAAATAAATAAAGGTACTTCTTTTATATAATATGTCTCTCCAATGAAAGTTGATTATTTCCTCTGATGCTCAACAAAGGAATGGTTTCTTCTAAATGCTGAAGGAAAAAGAAAAAGCATATTTTGGACTAAATGAGCAAAGTTACACCTAAATAATTTTATGTATAATTTACAGGTCATGTTTTCAGTATTTCAAGGAAAAACAACATTAGTGGAAAATCTTAGTGGAACCATTTGAGGAGGATTAATGCTATTGTCAGGTTTCTTAGGCTGAGTTCCTCTAGAAGTAGAAACTGAGACAATGGTTTGAGTGCAAGTAATTTATTTGGATGGAATGCAGGCGACAATAGAGGAGAGTGTAAAAATGATATGTAATAGGCAAAAACTCAATAGAGTATATGTTACCAAACAAATTATTGCTATTGGTCCTGCTAGCGAGCTCAGGGAAATGTAGCAAATACCTAAGCCCCTCATGGGGTCAAGGAACACACTCCATCTGCCATTAGTTGAAGAGTTGATGGCCTCTGTGGCTGCATAGTATTCCATCATGATTTTCTGCATCAAAAAATAAGTTAGAAATACCATTCACCTCCATACAAGCTGAAAACTCCACTTACTGTTGAAGAACTATTAGAAAAACATCTTTCACTTCTCCAACATCCATTACTTCTACAACATTCCAAGAGTATCCTAAGCAGGTAAAGGACATGCTCACATGCCCAGAAGTAAAACTTTGAGAGAGCCACAGGTGTCTGCGGAAAGTGGCTTTGCCTCATGCAGACTTGCATTTGGTGGGAAAGTAGCCTCAGCAGTGCTGGCTCTCCCTGGTTAAAGGACACACGACAAATTAGTGAAAGCCTCTTTACATTCTTTACATGTCTTGTTGCCACCCTAATAATAATAATAATACACTAGAGAAAATTGTCTCTAAATATGTTGTGTTTACTCAGAAATAAAAACAAGAAATATAACCTGGAATGCATGAAGGGCTAAGCCACCAGTGCATTTGGGGAAGGAAAGGTAAGGGGAGCTTTCATTGGTGAAAAGAGAGTTACATAGCTGCTTAGAAAGAGCTCGTTGGTTTCAGAGGTTCGAAGTCAGAGTTGTCTGCTCATTGGTGGAGATGCCGTTACTGGGCAAGTGTTCTGAGAATGTCTCTGAATTACTGCAGTCCTAAAGACTGTCTTATCGAAGCATGAGATGTGTGAAGGACTCAAAAGGCTTTTTAGAAAGTCTTTGGAAATAGTTCTTACTTAGATACGTAAGCATGAGCCACCTCTCCTTCGGGCTTTCCAGTCCCTCTTTTGTCGGGATCTGACAAAAGTGATTTTACCCAGGTATCTGCAACTTTCACGTGATCATGGCAACTTAATAATTTATGTTTTTCAGCTTTTAACGGTTTGTTCACTTAATTGTGGGGGTTTCCAGCCTATTCTTACAAGGGCAGGTAGGCTCTTCTTTGTGAATTCTGCGTTGTAACACAAGGGAACTAAGCAAAGAAGAGGAGAGATATCCGGAATGCTTCCTAGAGACATCAGACAAAGGCTCTTTGGTTGTTCTTGTTCTGCTGACTTTGTTTTTACATCTAGGAGGTAATTTTTTATGTACTCCTGGCCATAGCTCAACTGAAGGCATTAAGAAAGTGAACGTTTTAGCTACACAAGCAACAACGATAAAATTTCCACTTGAACTTGTCTTTAGACTAACAACGTTTCTCTTGTATTGAAATTAATGGGAAGATAATAGCTCCTGTAAACTAGGAGCACCCACTTCTCAGTGGCTTCTCGAGCTTATCCTTCAGGGAGTTTGACGTTTAATATAGGCAGAGTTTTTTCATTGTTCATTATGGAATTTTAATCAGGTCATTTCTTTTTTTTCCAAAATTCAATCTTTGCAGAGGCTTTATTTAACATGTAGTAGGAAGGTTTCTTTTAATAATGTCTGGTAGGGAACAAATACCTCAGTCAAATTGTTGATAGCAAGTTTATTTTTAACTCTGTGCCTTGTACCATAAGATAATAGGCTATCTAAAATAGGATAAACAGTGCAGTTTTGCCTGGAATTTAAAAATGGGAAGTTATTATGTTATACTTTGACCACAGGGATTGTTGGATAAAATAGTCTAATCCTATAAATAAGACCTGCGCCAATGAATAGGTTGATTCAAGAATGTAAAACAAGAAATATTTTGAGTTCAAAGGTTAATTTTTCCGTTCATTGAAGACAATGTTGATATATAGTTATAGATATAAAGGAACCTATATTTTTAAATAATTTTTTTAAACCAATGTGATTGTTGCAATTAAATTTTGTTATTAAAATTCTGGGGACATGTGTTTTTATAGTCCCATTTAAAAATTATTATTTCTGAACTTTGGGCTTTAAAGAGTCTGGAGGTGAGTTTAGTTTACTACCTTAGACACAGGATACTTAAAGGGATTAATTAGATAGGCATGAGATTATAAACATAAAATGTACTTTCCATTGATGTTATCTAGAGCTGATGAGACTTTGGAAACCACTATGTAATGAATTATATACAGCACATAAGCATTTTGTTTACAATATTAGCATATTATATCTATGTGCCAGTAAATGTGCTACTGTACTGACATAGATCATTTATTCTTCATTATGACAACTTTGAAGAGATAGCACTATTATCACCATTTTATTCACGAGAGAATTAAAACTTATACAACTTACCTACTCACTGTCACTTGCACCTAAAAAGTTTAAGGAGTGCTTATAGTTCTATATAATAATTTGAAGAATACATATATACATCTCCATAATTTTAAGATACGTTTCACTTTAACATTCTATTCTAACATCTTTTGTTTCACCTTTTATATTTCTTTATTCCTGCTGCACATATTTTTGAACTTAGATTTTAATTCATTGACACTTTAGCTACATAGAGAGCTTACCATTTGCCTTTACATCTGTACCCATGATTACTATTTACATTTGTACCAGTTGTTTATAGTCGCGGTAACAAATTACTCAAATTTAGTGACTTAAATCAACATAAATTCATTATTTTATGGTATTATGCATCTATCCTAAGTTTCATTGAACTAAAATCGAGGTGTTGGTAAGGCAGTGAGACTTTCTGAGGGTCCTGGAAGGAAATCCATTTTCTAATTTCAAAAGGCTGCCCACATTCCTTTTCTCATGGCCTCCTTCCGCCTTCTTCAAAACCAGCAAAGCTGGATCTCTCTGACCATTCTTTCATCATCACATTCTTCACTCTCTGAACAAAACTGGGAAACATTCTCCACATGTAAGTATGTATAATTAGTTTGGACCACCTGAGAAAGCTATGATAACCTGTCTGTGAGTTCTATGAATGTAACCGACTCATCTTTAGCCTAACGATATTGTCTCTGCTCAAAGCCTTCTCTCTGCTCTGAGGTGGAGTGAGGTGGCATGAGAGCACTGGCATATGTGGACGGCATCCTGGGAGAAATACTAGTTGACTGCTGGCAATGTCAACCATCTTTGAGTGATGAGCTAACTCCCTTTATTTTATTACACTCTATCCAAATAACATTCTAATTATAATTTGGCTCCCCCTTTAGGTTGCCTACCATGACAATAAGTTGGATCTACTAAGCTTGTTTTCAGGTTCTCAGTGCAGGCAAGTCATCAATGATTTACACCAATACTGGTTCCCATTTTATTGTTTTGTACCCATGATGTATTGATTATTAAATAATTTGATCATTAACTCTGTACTTTAAGTTTTTCTTGTACCAGTCTCTGTGAATACGGTTAATATGAATGTGATTTAGAAAGAAGAATGCACCATATAAGCATTGTGACAGTTCAGAACAGATTCTGGCTCATGATAGATTCACCATGATAAAACCATTCTATGAAGGCTTTGGGTCCATTAACTTTGGGAAATAATACATAACACCCAAAATACAATATGAATCAACACTCTAAATTCATTTATGATTTGAACTATATAATCATAATAAATGACTTTGCTTAACTTTAAAATACATTCATTACTTAGAATTATACAATCAGAAAATTAGAAAAATCATAGAATGTTAAAAGGTCTTAGCAAGAATACTCTTAATACTCTAACTTCCTCCATTATTTTTTCCCACATTTATATCACCTCAGCAACAGTTTTGAAGATTATAGTAATTTGTCTGTTGAATGTTTTTATAACTATTTTTTGTACCCTCTACTTATTCACAAGATAATATTTGCCTAAATGATAATTATTTTTTAATCCCTCAAGAATCATAGAGGCAACAAAGTAATTAGAATTACTTAACATTTATTTTGATTTTATAATGGAACTCAGGCATAACGAAATGTTACAAGAGAATGATAAATCAGCATTCATGACACATCTATAGTATATATAATATTTATGCATTTGTTATTATTGTTAATTATTTACTATTCCTTTAATCAGGCAAATCTGTTGCATTCCAGGATTTGAACTTTGGGTAACTTATACTCCTGCAGAGACCAGATATCTGAAAATGTGTGTACAGAGAAAGAGGAAAGTGGGCCACCTTTATCTTTTATGACCATGCAGTAAAGAAGTTAAAACTTGCTATTTATCTGTAATGTTTTCTCTCTTTTCTCCATACACACACTTTGAGTGATATTTTAAACAGTTTTATCCTATTTCCCCCCAAATCTTCTTCATTAATGGTTTATTGAAACTTCAAATCCATGATATAGGCCTAAACAAAATTTTATACCAATTATCATTTGAAAGCATGTGTATTATTTTGTAATTTGTGTCAGATGCCTCTTCTAGAAAAGCTTTTACAAAGGTCATTTTTTTTATTACTGTTGCAAGAAAACAACTTAGGAAAGTTTGGAAAATAAATTTATTTGCAAATAGAAGGTCAAAGACAGTGGTAATGATTTTCAATATGCTTGAAAAAATAAAAAATTATTCTTAAAAGTGATAAAAAGTTGATTGATATTTAAAGTTATTTTATTACTTCTTATTTAGAATTTGAAAAATAACAATGTTTTATTTTTGCTGTTTTCCTCCACATTTTTTGGTGGTAGGGAAAATTAGCATATTCAACTGTGGATTTTTCCCATATATGAGACATAGAAATTGCATATTATCTAGTGTGGTTGCATAGTCTGTGTTCTACATTATTTATCCAGGTAAAGAATAACTCTTAGGTCGCTTCCCTAATCAATTTAGTATGAGAACTGTGTTAGTCCATTTTCCTGCTGCTGATAAAGACATACCCGAGATTGGAAGACAAAAAGGTTTAATTGGATGTACTGTTTTACATGGCTAGGGAGGCCTCGGAATCATGGCAAGAGGCAAGAGGCACTTCTTACCTGGTGGCAGCAAGAGAAGATGAGGAAGATGCAAAATCGGAAACCCCTGATAAACCCATCATGAGAATAGAGTTGGGGAAACCGTCCCCATGATTCAAATTATCTCCCACTGGGTCCCTCCCATAACACATGGGAATTATGGGAGTACAATTCAAGATGAGATTTGGGTGGGGACAAACAGCCAAACCATATCAAGAACTTTGCAGTTATAACTCAAATCTAATTTGAACCAAATCATAAAAGGTTATATAAGGTGGTATTATGCAGGAAAAATAGAAACAGAGAATACAATTACTGGTAATCTGATGTTATTCCACTAATGCATTTAAGAGTATTCATAGAGTTCAGCCTCTCAGAACATAATAAGCTGTAAAGCGATTATATCTGACATTTCTCAGATAGTCTACCTCAAATTTTTCTATTTAAAAAAATAATTCATAAAGTAAACATGAGGTTTTTTTTTCAATATTTCAATAAAAAGTAAAATGTAATAGGAACTAAAATGTAAGTTTTGGGTAACATGAAGTTGAATGACATTAGATACTAAAAGTGAGTTAGAATACAGGCCGTCACAAATTTAAAATTAAGTCAATTTTGTTTAGATGACTAACCCATATCAGGAGGGTGAAAATTTCAAACTTTTGAAAATTAATGAAGTATTTATTTGTGAAAAATTTATTTTAGAGAGAGCAGTGAGTTCCAACATAGTACTCCTATAGTGTCAGAGGATACAAAAATGGAAAACAGAAAGCTAGAATATTCTCTCTGTTGTAGGATTGGAAATTAAATTTGAGATATTGTGAATTTTGTTTTTGATAGATAATTCTTAAATAGATGGATAAATAGATTAGATAAATAGATATAGAAATAATTATAACTGTAAATCTGTATGTGTGTGTTTCCTAACTCTCTGTTCTTTGAGAAAGTGAGAGAGCCAGGAACATAATTAGCACTGAAATCATGGACTCTAATTTTATTCTCCACTAGAAACAATCAGGGTTCTTTAGGAGAATAGCTCAATGTATTTAAAATTATATAATAAATATCTTAATATATAAATAGGTAGAAGAGAATGCTCTTTCTTAAGTAAGAAGACAACTGAAAAATTTAGAAGAAATGTTGGAATTAAAAAATCACCACCTGATAACTATTGGAATGATTATTGGTGGTACAAAATGTCAGTGAATGAATATACTGTGAGTAGAAGTTTCATACAAATTGAATACTGGATAGTCTCAAAATAATTTCCACAAAGCACTTTTTAATTACAAAGAGGCAATTACTTTACAGTGGAGAAACTTGGCTTACTTCACCAAATCAAGTGATCAAAATTAGCACATCACTAATGTGAGAAATCAAAATTGTATATCACTTGAAAGGATGACATGATATTCTTGACAAAAAATGCATAATCTGAATATAATTATGATAAAGCATCAGATAAAACAAAACATGTGAGTATCTTGGAAAATCACAACATTATAAAAATCAAGGAAAGTCTTAGAATTTTTCGACTTGAACAAGACAAGCAAGACATGACCCATAAATGTAACATATGATCCTTTATTGAATTATTTGACCTCGGGTCAAATCAACATGTATGACCATCCAATGAATGCTTTATAACAAATGATTTTTGTTCTAACTTATTTTTACGTCAAAGTCCTATCTACATCTGTTTAGTCAAGCTTGCTAATAATGTGATTTGAATATCATATATCATTGTATTACTAAAATACATTCATCTTCAATTTATAGATTTTAATATTTTTCTATATTTTCTGATAGTTCACCTTTTTCAGGACTATGGTGTTATAGACACACATGTTCAGAAGGGTTGTGCCAACTTAGTTTAGTCTTCCTTTCACAAACATCAGATATTATCCATTTTACCTTTTAATATTTTTTTCATTATTTTGTCTTACATTATAATTTCTTTTCCAGCTTTCTTTTGGTGCATCTATTCCTTGTATATCTATCACATATTACCTATCTCCTATTATCTATCTTTTTCTATTGTCTGTCTATTATCTACCTTCATTATCTATCTTCATTAGCTCTGTTCATTAGTTTTAAGCATGTCTCCTAAAATAACATAGCACCAGGTCTTTTCATGTTGGTTTTGTAACACCTAAGACTATCACATTTTTAATCTCTTAATACATTTATATTTGTTTTAATTGTTGATGTTAGGACTCAGGTACTGACATCTTATTTTGTAAATACTATTTTTCATGCTTTTATTTCTTCATTTTTTTCCTGATTTTTTTCTTACATTGAAAGAAGTTTCTAACTTTGTTTTAACTGATTGATAGTTGTACATGTACATTTCTTTTAATATTTACTTATAAATTACTAATTACCACAGTAATATTTTCCTATGTATGCATAAAGCTTACCAGTATCTATATTTTCTTCCTAAGCAATATAAGTATTATAGCACACTTTTATCTCTCTCTGATAAGTCCTCACCCTCCCATTTATCCTGGCTTAATATTTACTTGTCTTAAATTCCAGATTGTTAAGAGTGTATCTTTTATGTTCATTATTTATTTAAGAAATGGTATATTTTAGTGATTTTCTTTTACTTCCTGCATTAGTATTTCATTGCTACGTAACAAATATCCACAAATTTAGTGGCTTAAAACAACACAAATATATTATCTGAAGTTTCTCTGAGACAGGATTCTAGGCACAGCTTAGCAAAGTCTTCTGTTTAGGGTTTCACGAAGCTACAGTCAAGGTGTTGACTGAGGCTGTGGTCATCTCATGACTTGACTTGTCAAGGATCCACTTCCAGGCTCTTCGAGTTCTTGGCAGCGTTCATTTCCTTGTAGTTATAGGATTGACAACACTGGTTTCTTGCTGGCTGTCAGCTGGAGGTGACCCTCAGTTATTAGAGGCTGTCTGCTGTTCCTAGAAGATCTTTACATGTGGATTTCCAACATGTCTGCTTACTTCATCAAGACAGCAAGGAGTGTTTCTAATGAGAATCTGTTAGCAGGAAAGAGTCTTGAATGTATAAAAGTAACCTTGTCATGTGAGTAACATCACAAGAGCTTTGCTGTGTTCTATTGTTTAGAAGCAAGCCACAGATCCTGCCCAAACTCAAGGAGAAGGGAAACACAGTGGCATAGCACTAAGCCTGGGATCATGAGGGACCACCTCTGAGTCTGTCCATCACATTCACCCTTGATTCCTTCCTTATTTTTCCCTTTTTATATATTTTTTTTCCTTGCAGAAGCACATGCTTGTAAGATAAGAGAGCTGTCTCAAAATGTCCTTGGAAGCTTTCATGAGGAAACTTCACAACAATTAATTTACTTGTTTATGTGTATGTGGGATTGCAACTTTTAATCAGGCTAGCTATGTAGGGTTTTAATAAAAATGTGCTTGAAAGCTCATCTTAGAGACTACTTCTATAGCATCTTCAAATGATATATTTTGTTTAATAATTTACTTCCTGCTTAACTTAGCTACAGTGGATTCTGTTTGTAGCTAAGATGCTTGACCAATACACTAACACATAACTAGGAACATGGATTAATATTGATATATTTTATTACATATTCTTAACTAATTAACTCTAGGTTGAACTTTCAGTACAATGTTTACACAATTAATGCAAGTGGGCATCCTTGTCCAGCTCTTGATAGTAAAATGGTAGTGATTGTGTAAGCCTTCAGTCTTACACAATTAAGTATTTATGTTAGCTGTGGGTTTATTGTAGATGAGATGTTCTTTATCAGATGGAGGAGTTTCCTTTTATTTCTAGTTTGCTGAGTGTTTTTTCTCTTGAAACAGTGCTGCGTTTTTAAAATAGTATTTTGTGCATCCATTGAGAAAATGATTTGTTTTCTTTTATTCTATTGATATAGCATATTATATTAGTGGATTTTTAAATGTTAAACCAATCTTGCATGGATAAATCATATTTTGTTATAGTCTGTAATCCTATTATATTTACTGAATGAGTTTATTATTATTTTGTTAAGAATTTGTGTATGTGTATTTATAAGAGCTGTCACGCTGTGTCCTTTCCTTGTGTCTTTGTGTTATTTTGGTTTCAGGGTAATCCAATAAATTTTGATGATAGAGTGAATTACAGAATGTTTCCTCGAGTTCCATTTTTTGGAAGACTTTGTGAAGAACAGCTATCAATTATTCTTTAAATGTGTGGTAACATTCACCAGGGATACATCCACATGTGGGCTTTTTTATATCGGTAGAATTTATTTATTTATTTAATTTTACTAATTCAATTTCTTTATTTGTCTGTTTGCACCACTATAACAGAATACCACAGACTAGATAATTTATAAAGAACAGAAATTTATCTCCTCAGAGCTCTGGAGGCTAGGAAGTCCAATATCAAGGCATGAGTAGATTTGGTTGTCTGGTGAGGCTTGTATTCTCTAAAGGGGACAGACATGTGAGGAGAACCTCTTAATGGACTCACCTCTAAATACCATCACATTAAATTTTAACATCTGAATTTTGAAGGGTACACACTCAAACCAAAACACCTGTTATATAAGTAAAGAAGTTCAGGTACTTTATTTTGTCTTGAGTTACTTTGGACAGTTCGTGTATTTCTAGGAATGGTCTAATAGTAGTCACACAGTTACTCTTAGCACTTCCTTGTTGTTTTTCTTTCTGCAAGGTTGATTGTAATGCCCTCTTTAATTTGAATCTTTATTCTTTTCCTCTTGGTCAGTCTAAAAGCTTGTCAACTTAGTTTATATTTTTAAATAGCCAACATTTGATGTAGTTGATTTTCCCTGTTTTTATATTCTCTATTTAATTAATTTATTTCAATATTTACCATTTCTCCCCATCTACTTATATTGGGTTTCATTTGCTCTTCTATTTATATGGTCTTAAGATGAAAGGTGAGGTTATTTCTTTGAGATTGTTCAAATTTAGGCATTTAAAGTTATATATTTCTCTCTAAGCACTGATTTAGCTAAGCACTATTAATTTGTGGCATGTTTGTCTTAATTTGCTCTCATTTTAAAGTATTTTCTAATTTTCCTTGTGACTTCCTCTTTAATACATTGGTTACTTAGGAATTTGTTTTGTAATGTTCACATGTTTGGGATTTTTTTTTCAAATTTTCTTTTATTATAGATTTCTAATTCTACTACAAGTGATCAGAGAATATTATATTATCTCAATCCTTTAAACTTTTTGAGAATTATTTTATAGCCTATCAAGAGTTCTATCATTAATCATATTAATGTGTTTTTGAGGGGAAAAATTATATATATATTCTAATATTGTTGAGTGCCATCTTCTATAGATATCTGCTAAGTATAGTTGGTTTATAGTGTGTTCAAGTAGGTTATTTTCTCTTGACCTTTTTAGTTCTTCTGTCAGTTACTGAAAAAGAGGAAGTGAAGTTCAAACTGTCCGTGTTAACTTGTTTATTTCTGTCAATTATATCAGCTTTACTTCATGTATTTTAGAACTCCGTCGTTCTGTAGATACAAATTTATGATTGTTATTATTTTTCCTGAAGGATTGATACATTTATTATTTTAAAATGTCCTTCTTTATCTCTAGTAACATTAATTTTTGTAATGTCTATTGACTCAAATTAATATAGCCACTCCAGTTTACTTAAGGATGTCCTTTGCATGATGTATATTTTTATATTCTTTTACTTTCAAAATATTTGGAACTTTGACTCTAAAACATGTCTCCTATAAAAAGCATGTATATGGAACTTGATATTTATCCAGTCTTAGAGTCTCTGCCTTTTGACTTTGTTGTTTAATTCATTCTCATTTAATACTTTAATTGATATGGTTACATCTGCTATTTTACGCTTTTGTTTTCTTTGTCTCGTATGTTTCTTTATCCTTCCTTTACTGCATTCATTTCCATTATTTGAATATATTCTAGTGTAGCACTTTCATTCCCTCAATAGAATGAAACCAGTGAAACATTTTAATCATTTGTTTTCAATTTTTTCACTACGTCTTAAAAATTTATTTTCGTTGTAGTTGCTCTAGGGTTTACCATGTAGATCTTACCTTACTGGGATATGCTTCACATGCTTCACATTTATATGGATGTAATTCTAATACTATATAGAAAGGTGACTGCTATATAGCTCTATTCTTTATTTTCTTTGTGTGTGTGTGTTGTTGTTGTTAAAAACATTACAAATACATCTGTTACAAAAAATACTTTGTTATAATTATTACGTTACAAATTTGTATGACAAAGAAGTTAACAAAAAAGAACAATTATATATTTGTAATTTTTATATTAACCTTTTAATTTATCTTTTCTGTTATTATTTGTTCTTGTGGATTCGAGTTAACATCTTATCTAGTGTCATTTATCATTTATTTTTGTCAGTACAGCTTCCTCCTTATTAGTTTTCTTTGTGCTGTTAGTCAAATTTTATTTCTATACATTATAACACAAACAGTGCAATTATTTACATAAATTTTTATGCAATTGCTATTTAAATCCATCAAGACAGGACGTACATTTCCAATATCATTCATAATTAAACAATCTCTATTTTTGTTGCTCTTTTTATCATGTGGATTCAAATTAATGTCTGAGGTTACTTGCTTTCAGCATGAAGAACTTCTTTTTAGTATTTATTTCCAGCTGGTTTTGATAGCAACATATTAGTTCAGTTTTTGTTTATCTAGGAATGTTTTATTTCACCATCAATTTTGAAAGGTATTATTGATGGACATAAAATTGTTGGTTAGAATTTTTTCTTTCGAAACTTTGAATATGTCATCTCACTTTCTCTTGATGTCATTGTTTCTGCTGAGAAATGAGCTGATAAATTTGTGAGGGTTACCTTGTGCATGTCATGTGTTTTTTCTTTTGCAGCTTACAATAATTTATCTTTGTTTTTGTCTTTCACCATTTTTACTATGATGTGTCTAATTGTGGATCTCTGTTTATCCTAATTAGAATTTTTTTAGCTTCTTGAAGTTATCAATTAATGTTTTTTTAAATCAAAGTTTAAAATGTTTCCATCCTTGGTGTTTTTTTAAATATTTTTTCTGCCCCTTTCTCTTTCGCTTCCCTCTGGTACTTCCATTACACTTAAATTGGTGCGTTTAATGTTTTCTCATGTCTCTGAGGCTATGTCATTTTTTTCTTCATTTTTATTTTTTGTGTTCTTCAGATTTTATAATTTATTGATCTATCTTCCAATTGACTGATTCTTCTGCCAGTTCAAATACGCTATTGAGCTAATGTAGTATATTTTTCATTTCAATTATCAGAATTCCCCTTTGACTTTTTAGAATAAGTTATATCTCTTTATTCCTATGCCGAAATTCATAACACATTGTCTTATATTGACCGGGTGCAGCGGTTCTCACCTGTAATCCTAGCACTTTGGCATGTTGAGACATGAGGATCTCTTGAGTTCAGGAGTCAAGACCAGCCTGGGCAACACAGTGAGACTCTGCCTCTAACAACAACAACAAAACAATAGCCTGACATGGTGGTGCACACCCGTACTTCCAGCTACTTGGGGGGCTAAGGCGAGAGGATGACTAGAGCCCAGGAGGTTGAGGCAACAATAAGCTATGATCATGCCACTGAATTCCAGCCTGGGTGACAGAGTAAGCCTCTGCCCCCGTACCCCCCCAAAAAAGGAAATACATACATAAATATATTGTCGTATATATTGTTTTACTGTTTTAAACATGGTTTCCTTTAGTTCTTTGAACATGCTTATAATTGCTGCTTTGAAGTGTTTATCTTCTAATTCCAACATCTGAGCCCTCTCAAAAGCAATTTCTGTTTCTTCCTTTGTTATGTTTTGGTTTGGGTTTTGGCTTCGGCTCCTTTGTATGAATCACACTTTCCTGTTTCTCTTTCTTTATATGACTTACAATGACATATGATTTTTGTTGTTGAAAACTGGAATATTTATATCTATACACACACATGTGCACACACACATGCCCACACAGACACACACACATTCCACATTCTATAGCTTTGTCATTGTTTTTGTTTGGGTATTAACAATTATATTACCTGGTCTATCTTCTTCCATTTTCCTTCACATGTAACCAGTTAAACATTGTGTTAACAATTAAATTTATGACTAATTTTTGCAGTATTATATAATTTGAAAATTTTTATTATAATGATAAAGTGGTCAATTAATCAAGAATACACAGCAATCTCAATTGTGCACTTTATAACAAAGCTTCAAAATATGAACAAAAGCAAATATAACTTCAAGGAGAAATAGACAACTCTACACTTGTAGTATAATAATAGTTCAACACTGTTTTTCCTTTTTTTTTTTTTTTTTTTGAGATGAAGTCTTGCTCTTGTTGCCCAGGCTGGAGTACACTGGCACAATCTCGGCTTGCTGCAACCTCTGCTTCCCGGGTTCAAGCAATTCTTCTGCCTCAGCCTCCTCAGTAGCTGGGATTACAGGCGACCGCCACAACACCCAGCTAATTTTTGTACTTTTAGTAGAGACAGGGTTTTGCTATGTTGTCCAGGCTGGTCTCGAACTCCTGACCTCAGGTGATTCGCCCACCTCAGCCTCCCAAAGTGCTGGGATTACAGATGTGAGCCACCACGTCCGGCCTGATTTTTCAATACTTAATAGAAAAATAAGTCAGCACTTAAGCAAAGACATAGAAGAACTGAAGTAAACTATCAACAAATTTGATTTAATTGACCATTAGAGAACTTTCCAAAAATGCACATTATTTGCAAATATTCATGGGAAATTTGCAAGAACATAATATTCTGGGTCATATCACAAGGGCCAATAAATTTTAAGAGATTCAAATCATATAATTACTTCCTCTAACCATAATGCAATTATATTAGAAATCAATACATATCTGAAAAATCCCTAAATGTCGGAACAAAATGTTATAATTACAAAAAAGCCATGGGTCAAATAACAAATTAAAAGCAAAATTAGAAAGTATTTGAGTTTAATGAAAATGAAAAAGAGCTTATCAAAATTTTAAGATGCAACTGAAGCAATATTTATATATTTTTACCACTGAGCATTTATGGTAGAAGAAGAAAGATATTTCAGTTTCAACCATAAAAACTAAAAAGAGAAGAGCAAATGAAAACCAAAATAAACAAAAAAATGAAATAATAAAGATCAGTGAAGAAACCATGCAAATAGAAACAGAAAAGCAATAAAGAAATCATAAGCTGGTTCTCAGTGAAGATTAAAAATGAATTGATAAACCTGTAGGTGGGCTGATTAAGAGAAAAAGAGAAAAGACAAAAATTACCAGTATATTAATAATAAAAGAAGTTATATCACTATGTATCATTCCTATTTTAGATGGATAATAAAAATAACATGAACAACTTGATGCTAATACATTTGATAATTTAGTGAAATGAACACACAAATACTAAAAAAGCTCACTGAAAAAATAATATAAATATTCCTATATATGTTAAATAAATTGAATGTGTTGTTTAAAAAAATCTTCTTATAAAGGAAACGCCTGGTCCAGAAGGAAGTATTTTTTCTGAAAAGTAACGGGGAATGCTTGAGGATAGTCTTATGTTCATTGTCTTAGCAATCAGATGATTACAGTATAAACACACAAACTAATAAGTACTCCTCACATTGAATTATATATAGCAGTGAGAATGAATGATGTACATAGCATGCAAGAATAGGGAGGAACCTTCCAATTATAATGTTGAGCAAAAGAAGACAGACACTTGCTATCTGATTCTACGTATATAAAGTAAAACAGTAAATACAACTACTTTTGCAGTTTAAAAGTCAGGATAATTGTTACCCATCATTAGTCTGGTAGTGACCACAAGGGGGTATTGAATTGTTGGCAATGTTCATCTTTTTCCCATAATGTCCATTACATGAAGTGTTCATCAATTTATTACAATTAGTTGAAAAAATCAGTTAAGACATTTGCACTTTCCTATACATGTTATAGTTTGATAAAAAAGTTTTAAAAATAGAATAATGATACCTGTTTTATTAAAAGACTGCTCCAGTAAACCACCTGCTGTTGATCTTACTTTCTAATACATTTCTAATACATCTTTCTAATACATTTCTAAATATATCTGTGCCTTTATTAGTAAGACTTGCTTCATTGGGTAGAAGAACAAATGAACAAATATTTCTAAAAAAAAAAGGTTAATGTTTTTCTTAAACATAAACACATCCTTAGATATATATTTACAAATAGGCTAGGACATCATTAGGTTTCCTATTTTCCACCACATGAATCATTTTTACATGTAAGTCACAATTGATTAGATAATGCTCCCATTGTTGCAAAAGTTTTTACTTGTTCATAAATTTTCCATTAACTAACATAGCACATTGCAACTTTTAGGACAATAAAAAAGAGTTAACATAAGCTGAAAAACACGTAGTTTAGACTGAAGTAACTAAATAAGTGCAAATACATTTCTGATAGTCTTATGAAAATCAATTTATTATTGCCCTGATTGAAAAAAAATCTCTTCAAGATATTAAACACAAGCAAATATAAAATACATGACATGTGATTAGCTCAGTTCATATTTCTCTACCAGAAAAGTAAGCTGAAACTTATTGCTGAATAGTGCTTATTTTCTTTTATTTTGAGGGAGAAACTTACAGTTTTATACAGGTGCTTTTATCCAATATTTCACTTATTTTTCCCTTGAAACTTTACAATTTGTAATTCTGGGTTAATAATTCACTGGAAACAAAGTTTGGAAGTAGATGAGGTATAAATAATAAATGAATGGGTCTTAGTTGATAAAATATTAATATATTGGTCAAAAGTAGATAATGATTAATTTTTCAGCCCAAATTTCAACATTCCTGTCAGGTGAGAAATTTATAGGATGAGAAAACAATGATGTACTGTAACCTGCCATGAACTATTTTTATTCAATCACAACCTGGACTGGAGAAAGAGTAGTTAATTATCCCCACCTTGGTGGAAATAAATAATGGAAAAACATGTTGCTGAAAAACAGTAGATGTCTTTAAATCATTAATGAATGGGAGAGTTTGCAATAGAACACTTCAATTTGGGTGAACCTCTATTCTGAAATGCCAAATCTCTTTTATCCAGACATTAAATGTATTACTTTAGGAATTCCTTCCTTCGTGGATATTTTGGTCCAGGGTAGAAATCTTAAATTATTGATTAGATTACCACTAGGCTGTCATTTACAATAGTATCAGCTACAGATAAACTATCGTGCTGCAGTGGGAGAGCTTCAAATCTCATCTTTAATGCTATCAGAACAGAGTGCACCTAGGAATCTCTCTACACTCAACCTCAAAGATTTATGAGCTTCCAACCCAAATACAGCATTGTATTTCGAGTATCTTGGGAAATGAATCAGACAGTCAACATCGTTTATTTGAACTGGCATTGGCATTTATCCACAAGTGAATAATAAGACCCCCTAAGGTGAAGATAGCAAGGAGCAGTCATTTTAAATTTTAAAACATGAGTATTGGTCTAACACCAGGGGAAAAAAGTAAAAATTTTTTAAATTAAACAAATTTTAAACTTTTGCAATAAACAAATATATGTTTGTTGTCTTCTAATGTTTGTGTACATTTCATAAATCCATGTCATGCAAAGTAGTAATCTTCATTTTAATGTCATCGCTTTTGGTTTTATTTGATCATACCTTCTTAGATATAATGAAGTTCTAATCACCTAAAGGCAAGTTGTCCACAGTGAGTAAAAATGCTGAGGAATAAACATAATGAAAAGTAGGTTTTACTCTGATATTGATATCCCCCAGGATTTTCAATATTGATATTGAAAATGTGTTAAATATAAAACTAAATAATAAACCCAAATAAACTGGATACCATCAACTAATTTAAAAATATTTAAACTATGACATTAACTCAAAGAATTAGCTTTTCTCTTTTCTTTACCTTCCTTCTCTCCTTCTTTCCTTCCCTCCTTCATTCTTTCTCTTCCTCTCTCCCTCCATCTCTCCCTCCTTCCCTCGCTTCCTTCCTCCTTTTGACCTTCCTTCCTTCCCTCCCTCCCTCCCTCCCTCCTTTCTTTCTTTCTTTCTTTCTCTTTCTTTTCTTTTCTTTTCTTTTCTTTTCTTTTCTTTCTTTCTTTCTTTCTTTCTTTCTTTCTTTCTTTCTTTCTTTCTTTCTTTTCTTTCTTCCTTCCTTCCTTCCTTCCTTCCTTCCTTCCTTCCTTCCTTCCTTTCTTTCTTTCCTCTTCCTAGTACAAGTTAGGATTAGAATTCAGAATATCTGATGAGCTGTGGAAAAAAATTATTCTGGTACTGAAAAAAAATGCCATTTGTAAATACATAATAAAGCATTGAAATATAGAATTAAAAAAAGAATAATGATCAATTAATATGATTTTAGAAAACAAACTTTTCTAGTAAATTGATAAGGTAAAGATAAAAATCATAATTCAGTTAAAGCTTAATAATAGCATGTATGTTCTTAACCTACCATCACTTACATTTTTAGTTAAGTGAAATGTGGTTAGCTACATGTTAAGTATGAGATTGGTGGCTCCATCATGTACAATACATATGAGTCCCAGAACTATCACATTGATAAATAAAACTGTAAATCTACCACTTTCTTTCCTCAAAGTAATTCCCAGGGTAAAAATAATTTTTTTTTTTTTTTTTTTTTTTTTTTTTTTTTTGAGACGGAGTCTCGCTCTGTCGCCCAGGCTGGAGTGCAGTGGCGGGATCTCGGCTCACTGCAAGCTCCGCCTCCTGGGTTCACGCCATTCTCCTGCCTCAGCCTCCCAAGTAGCTGGGACTACAGGCGCCCTCCACCACGCCTGGCTAATTTTTTGTATTTTTAGTAGAGACGGGGTTTCACCGTTTTAGCCGGGATGGTCTCGATCTCCTGACCTCGTGATCCGCCCGCCTCGGCCTCCCAAAGTGCTGGGATTACAGGCGTGAGCCACCGCGCCCGGCCGAAAATAATTTTTTTTAATTAAACTTCATGGCTGTAAGAATACAAGGGCATTTAAAAATAAATAACCTCACAGTATGATGTTTTTCAAAAAATGAAAATTAAAAAACTGTAAGCACTAATTAATGTAAACATTGATAAACTTTATTACATAACAATGTTGACAACTAGATGATGATGTCAAAGTGTAAAACCAACCAGAACAACTACTGCAGTTTTTAGAAGTCTTTAAATTGTAAATGCAAATGATAAGTCTAGGAAAGTAACTGAACCCAAAATGACAGACTAGGTTCTAATTTCTAGAAAATATAAATGAATGGGCTAAAAAAAAGTGGTCCAATTTTTTCAATATTGAGAAAATATCTTGAAAAAAATCTCTCTTGCAAACACACACACACACGAATATACAAGTGATTATAAAACAAATGAGAACATAGTCACCAAAAATTAAATCTATGGAAATGCAGAAAACAATAATAGAATGCTATTTTGGCTCATCATATTAGTTACATTTAATTAAAAATGTTTAATAATTCACCTTGGTGAAAACACAGCAAAAATGTGCATAGCTATTAGTCTATCATTGTTTATAACAGAAACACACATACTACCAAATTTTAACAACAAAAATGAACATAAAGAGAAGAACAATGATACAAATTGTGATGCATTCATTACAACAAAATACTGCACATACCATATTTAGTAAAATGAAATACATCTATGTGTTCTGATTGTGAAAATTTCCCCATAACTTTTGATGTTGAACATGATACAAAATATGGCTGTCCATTGTGTTGTAGTTGTATCTATATAAGACATTTTTCCAAAGATAAGAGAATAAATTGTAGAGCTTTAATTTTTATTATTAGTATCTGTATTAATATTCTTATGTTATTATTATTCTATAATTACAATATTTTATTGCTGAACCTCTTTGTTATTCTCATTTAATTATTAGTGATAAACCAGTTTAAATTTTTTAAAAATAACATATTTAACATGTTTTTAAAAAATCCTGAAATTGTTGCAATTCCATTTTTGTTGGGAGGAGAATAGATAGCCTGAGAACATAGGCTGCTTGGTTCCTTGCAAGGCATGGGGGTGAGAGAGCAGAGCCCCATTACTAGGAGATCAGGAACAAGAGCAAGAGAGAGAATAGGAATCACTCACGCCCTTTACGCCTATTAGTGTTTACCTGGTATTCTCTTGTATAAAATGAGATTCTGAAACTAAGAGCTCATGAAGAGTCCTTCAAAAGCTATTCTTCTTTTATACAATCTGTGAAAACATCTTGAATTGAAAAAAAAAACTTTCTATTTTCTCTGAGGAGACTATATGGGAAATAGATTATTGCTTGATAATGGAAACTATATAGTCAATATTATCATCCAAACATCACCTGTGTATTCTTGCAAAAAAAAAATCTTAAGTTTAATCAAGAACCCAGAAATTTAATAGAGTTTACAGAAAATATAGTGCATTAGGGAAGATGTTAAACGTGAAGAAATAATCTGAGAAATAATGTAGAACTTGACAATTAATGTAAAATCTTCTAATATCACAGTCACGAAAAATGCTTAAAAAGGTTAGAGTCACTAAGAAATCATTGCATTGCAGGCTAAAAAAACACAAAAAATGTCACTTAAAGCAAAACAATCAAACATAACTCATGTTGCTTTTTTGTTTGTTTTGGTTCCTGGTTTAGAAAAGCAAACTCTATGAAAGATATTTCTGATAATAAAACAAAATTCCTGAGAAAAATTTGAGTTTGGATTTGATATTAGATGATAAGATGATTATTTTAATTTAGTCAATTGTGGTAATTATATTATAGATGTAGGGATGTAGCATTTCTTTATTCTTATGAAATATTTAATAAATATTTAGAGATGAATTGTCATGATTTTTCTGACACAAATTCAGATTGAGAGAGAGAGAGAATAAGAGAAAGCAAATATACAAAAATAATAGTTGTTGAATCTAGGTGGAAGACTTATGGGTGTCTATTGTACAATTCTGTCAACTCATTTATATCTAAAAATTAATAAAATTTGGGAAGTAAATATCATTAAGTGCTGACATGTAACTAAAAGTTATACAGAACTTTATAATCTAAAAATTTGTCTCTAGAAAAATTATCGGCTGCTTGATAAAGCTAATTGTGTTAAGGGCTTATTAATGATTCTGTGGATTTCTTTGAATAACAGGTTTTGCAATGGGAAGACTAAATTTTTTACATTATTTGTATTTAGTATTTTTAACAGGTCAATAGCTTGTTAATTAAAATATGTGGCTGTAAACTTGGCATGCGGTCATATTTCTCCCTAGATAACAAATAACTTTCCTTCTCTTGCTATGGAATTTAAGTCATGCACTTATATGAAGATAGATGGATTTCCCAGTAAATTCACAAACAGTTTAAAGTACAAACAAGGCCAGAAGATACACACACATCACTACCATCATAAATATTTGATAATGATTATTTTCAAAAGACATGAAAGAAATTAGCATATGAAATATGAGTCTTTTGTGACTCCTTTCGTATTTTTATTTTAAACGTTTTTTAAAACTTTTTTTTTCCACTGTGTGTATGTGGATAGCGGATTTTAGACAGTTGGTACCATAGTTTGTTCAGTGAAGTTCTTAAATTATAATTGAAAACACAGGCTTAATGACTGCCAGGCATGACAGACACCGAAGGGCTGAAGACCCATCATGAAGCTCAGAACAAATGCAGCATTTAATTTAATTTTAATAAAGTGAGAAGCAAGATGTATAAATCAGAATTACATTCAAATCTAAAGAAGCCTTAGTATGTTTTTTTAGGAAGGGTCAAGGCCCATTTATCTGAGTGAACCTGAAAGATTTAATGTTTAGAACAGCTGGAATACCTCTGCAGGAAACTGTTATCCTCTCTTTGGAAAGGTGTCACCAAAGATTCACTTAAAGTCAGCCTTTGCCCAGCTCCCATTTCTACTTTGTTGCTATGCGAATGACCCAGTGACCCCAACTCCTGACATTCTTCTCCAAGCCCAGCATCCTTTACAGCTTGTACTTATATTTACAGAGAAGAAGATGAGGGTCCCAACTTGCCTAAATTTCGTCTATCTTGTGATGGAATTAAGTGTTGAATAAAAGTCCTGCTCAGTTTCACTATTCTGTGGTTAGGAAAAATAGTGGGCAGTTGTGGATAAACTGGGGAGTGATTTGTCTATAGTGTTTGGGGTTATGGGCAATTGGAGAATCGGAGTGAATCTGTTAGATTATGGAATCAGAAAAACCGTATCATCAGTAATCGGCACACGGCCATGGTTAGGAAGCATTCTGTAATCACAAAGAATGACCCACATCATGACCATATGTTGAATACTGTCATTTTGATTAATGTAAGCCATTTTTTTTGTTCTAAAAAGATCCGGCTATGATTCAGATTTTAAAGGCTAGCCTTTTAGAATATTAGATTTCCAACACATCATGCAAAGATGCCTGTACAAAATTGAGATTCGTTTAAAATATTTATCAAATTATTCAATATTATGTCATTCCAGACATTCATAGACCAATGATTAATTTTTATCAATAGTGAATAAACTCAAACTCTCTGTCAATTTCATGCATAGACAGCATATAATTCATTAATAGTGGATAAAGTCAATTTTTCTGTCAATTTCATGTGCAGACAAATGTGCAGATTTGTTTGCTTTTAAAGTCCATTGTATTTATATTTCACTTACAGTTAGGCACATTGCTTTGGTAAATAAATTCTGTGAAACAAAAACAAATAAAAATCTTCTCTTTAGCCCCTTTAGTTTATCATTCTAAATTGTATAATATGGGAATAAGGGAATAAATAAATAAAGTATATTTAATCAAATATGTCAATTTGAGTAATTTATATTAAATTTAAAAATAAAATTTATGTCACATAAATCAACCCATAAAAGAAGCATTACGGGTGTATAGTTATTACATAATATCTTAATGCTAGACCTGAAAAAGTCATCTAATCAATATTTTATTTGAAGAATTTGAGACATGGAAGGTTGAGCTAATCAAGATCATAAGATTAATTGGTAAGAAAGCTGGCAGTAAAACTAATATTTGCCAACAAACTTTCTAAGTGCTCTCTAAGATTATACAATACAAGTAGAACAGAGTGCAAAATTACAGTTTCCAATGATATGATGCATTTTTTTCCTCTGAGGTTGTAAGTGCAGACATGAAGGGAAAGCTTGAATTAAAAATTGTTCAGGCATTTTATTCAAATTGATCAAAAACTCAACTTTTGTTTAATGCAAAATTGCTACATGTTATCCTTTGTTGATAGGTAGAAATGCTTCTATTAAAAGTTCTAAGAGGGTCAAATATGTGTTCTGTAAGTATAACAGCTGCATGAGCATAAAACATAATTTACCAGATGAATTAATTATGCAAACATTCTAACAACATATGTAATTATTATGGTGCTTTTACTGCCTGCTTGCCAAGAAACATTCCTAATATGTGATGAAACCACTTTGCATTACAAGAAAAATGAGAAATAGTTTGGCACAATTGGGTATAAAATTTAATAATCATCACAAAGGACTGATTGATGCTACTTCAGTCTTAGTATTGAAAATGGGAATTCAGTTATAGCATTAGTTTATGGTTTGAGCTTTGTGGATCTTCCACCAGTTAATACTAATGAAACTTTAATTTATTTTCGAGACTTGCTGTTTGCTGTGAAAAGTTGATTATTAAAATCACTTTCAGGTGGGGCGCGGTAATCCTAGCACTTTGGGAGGCTGAGGTGGGTGGATTGCCTGAGCTCAGGAGTTCGAGACCAGCCTGGGCAACACTGTGAAATCCCGTTTCTACTAAAATACAAAAAATTAGTCTGGCGTGGTGGTGCGTGCCTGTAGTCCCAGCTACTCTGGAGGCTGAGGCAAGAGAATTGCTTGAACCCAGGAGGCGGAGGTTGCAGTGAGCCGAGATGGTGCCACTGCACTCCAGCCTGGGCAACAGAGCAAGACTTTGTCTAAAAAAAAAAACCACTTTCAGACTGTATTAAAGCTGAATCTTAAGGCAACTGAAATGTATTTAAATGTGTATAGGTCAAAGTACTCCTAACTTTATGTTACAGTATCATGAAAAGAAAAAAACACAAACTAATTTGGATAACATACACTTTCTGTGACTCCACCAACGTTTTAAAAAGTAGAGAGAGCAAAGTCATTGTACTGCATGACATCACTGCGAGTTTTTCTGCACTATTCCTGTAGAGCAGTAGGGCCATTTCTCCTCCTTTGAATGTGAACCAGCTAGTAGTGACTGACTTGACTGCTAGAGTGTGGCAGAGTGACTCCATTCTTGTCCTGGACCTAGCATTTTAAGAGGATGGGTAGTTTCTGCCTTGGAATCTTGGAGTCTTAAGAGGTCATGTAAAAAGTTTGAGTACTCTGTGGAATAGAAAATGTGGAGGCCCTGGTCAGACAAGAGAAAGGAGCCCAGCTGAGCCCAGCCTTCCAGCCATCCTGCCAAGGTCCTGGGAGCATGAGACAGCATCTTGGGCCTTTCTGACCAGAGCTGCTGCCCAAGAACCCCAGTTTACCCCTCGTGGAGCTGGACAGTCACCCAGGCAAAATCCTAACCCACAAAATTCTCAAATTTAGCAAAATGATATCATTTGAAGCCACCAATTATTGTGATAGCTTTTTACATATTAACAGATAACTAGAGACTGTTTCACTATCTTATGACATACACTGAATTTTCTACTTAGGGTTTTGTTCAATTATATGTCAATAATGTATTACAAGACATACATCAAATTTAAATAAATATGCAGATTTGTAAAACTGAGGAAAAACCAAAACTCAAACACTTCCACAAGTTAAATGATTTTTAATTCAATATTGATTCCCATTAATGTATTTGTCTAGCTGCAGAGTGCTTTTGTGGTCAAGGTGGGGGAAGGTCCTTATTCTTAGACCAAATACTTCTTGAAACATCACCCAAAAGTATTCTCTAAAAGCCAAGCTGACTGAACTACAAAGCACTTGCTTGAAAAATATTTTTTTTCTTAATCCAGTCTATCATTGTTGGACATTTGGGTTGGTTCCAAGTCTTTGCTATTGTGAATAATACTGCAATAAACATATGTGGCACATATACACCATGGAATACTATGCAGCCATAAAAAATGATGAGTTTATGTCCTTTGTAGGGACATGGATGAAATTGGAAATCGTCATTCTCAGTAAACTATCGCAAGAACAAAAAACCAAACACCGCATATTCTCACTCATAGGTGGGAATTGAACAATGAGATCACATGGACACATGAAGGGGAATATCACACTCTGGGGACTGTGGTGGGGTGGGGGGAGCGGGGAGGGATAGCATTGGGAGATATACCTAAGGCTAGATGACGAGTTAGTGGGTGCAGCGCACCAGCATGGCACATGTATACATATGTAACTAACCTGCACAATGTGCACATGTACCCTAAAACTTAAAGTATAATAAAAAAAAAAAGAAAAATAAAATAAAATAAAATAAAATAAAATAAAATAAAATAAAAAAAGAAAAATATTTTTTTTCCTTCTTTGTTGAAGGAAAGTATCTGGCAGAAATTCAGCTAACAATCAGTGCTCCTAGACAGCCAGGAGATAAAGTATAGCTTCCTTTTACTTAGAGACAAGAATGAATGTTGCAAAAATAAAGGTAAGTGATATGATGTGTGATATATTAGAACCAAAAATTGCCTGTCTGTCCGGATAAAAGACATCTCATTGACTCACTTCAGAGCTTTCATCATCATTTAATAAAAAGTTTCTCCTTGGACTGGAGTTAGAAAACCTTTTCTTGGGTATGTATAACCATTGTGGAATAGTTATTTTTGCTTTGATGATTTTTTTTTCTTGGACGTCAGCGTATATGTTACATGTGTTGCTTCATTTTAAAATACAAATTGAGGAATTGCCATGCTATCTTCCACGATGGTTAAACTGATTTACTCTTCCACCACCAGTGTATAAACATTCCGTTTTCACCACAACCTTGCCAGCACCTGTTCTTTTTTGACTTTTAATAATGGCTATTTGGACAGGTCTAAAATGGTATCTCATTGTGGTTCTGATTTGCATTTTTCTAATGATCAGTGATGTCGAGCTTTTTTCTCATATGATTGTTAGCCGCATGTATTTCTTCTTTCGTCAAGTGTCTGTTCATGTCCTTTGCCTAGTTTTTAATAGTAGCCTGGACAAAGAAAATGTTTTTTATATATATATGTATACATAAAATATATATATACACACATATATGTATATATACACATGTTATATATTGTATTAAATTATATTATATATTATATATATTATATATACATTACGTATATAACATATATACACACACTGTATTAGTCTGTTCTCACACTGCTAATAAAGACATATCCACAGCTGGGTAATTTATAAAGGAAAGAGGTTTAACTGACTCACAGTTCTACATGGCTGGGGAGGCCTCACAGTCGTGGCAGAAGGTGAATGAGGAGCAAAGTCATGTCTTACATAGCGGCAGGCAAGAGAGAGCTTGTGCAGTTCCTCCCTTGTATAAAACCATCAGATCTCAGGAGACTTGTTCACTACCATGAGAACAGTATGGAGAAAACCACCCTCATGATTCAATTATCTCTACCTGCCCCCCGCTTAACATATGGGGATTATTACAATTCAAGGGGAGATTTGAGTGAGGATACAGCCAAACCATATCATATACCATGGAATACTGTGCAGCCATAAAAAAAGAATGAGATCACGTCCTTTGCAAGAACATGGATGGAACTGGAGGCCATTATCCTTAGCAAACTAATTTAGGAACATAAAAGTAAATATCACATGTTCTCACTTATAAGTGGGAGCTAAATAATGAGATCACATGGTTACACAGAGGGGAATAATGCACACTGCTGCCTATCAGAAGGTGGAGAGTAGGAGGAGGGAGAGGATCAGGAAAAATAGCTAATGAGTACTAGGCTTAATACCTGGGTGACAAAATAATCTGACCCAGAAACCCTCATGACACAAGTTTACCTATATAACAAACCACCACACATACCCCTGAACTTAAAATGAAACTTAAATTTAAAAAATACAAATTGGGTCACCTTCTGTATCTTTGGTCTACCTAGAATCATATTAAGATAGTGATTCTAATGGTGTCTATTGCTGAATTGCCTGAGTTAGTATATCAGCCACAACTCCTAGCTATGTGTCCTTGGAAAATGTAGTTAAATTTGCTCCTCTATAAAATCTCACTCTGTGTTTGCATGTGTGTGTGTGTGTGCACGTGTGTGTGTGTGAGAGAGAGAAAGAGAGAAATGGTATAATTCAATACATGTTAAACACTGAAAAATGTTTGACACAATGTCAGCAGTCAGCAAATGTCAGCTATCATCATTTATTATGTTCAATTTTTTTCTATTCATAAAATATCTTTTTAAATTAAATGCATATGATGGTATATCATCTTTTTAATGGCTGAACACTCCATCATTAATACATCCAATAAATACATATTTAAGGTTTTCTCCATTTTTAGTGTGTATTCTTTCTCACATTTAAGATAACTTTCTTAATATAAATTCTTATAATTTGAATTTTGCTGTCAAATGGCATGT
The DNA here is from genome assembly GCF_000001405.40 of Homo sapiens. NCBI lineage: Eukaryota > Metazoa > Chordata > Mammalia > Primates > Hominidae > Homo > Homo sapiens. The sequence continues at coordinate 21,660,444 of NC_000005.10, forward strand.
GAAATTTTAAGCATGTTGATACATGTGGAAAATATACCGTCTAGAATATATGTATTATTTATATTTCATACAGTTTAAAGAATATACATTTTCCAAAATAGTTTCTAGAACCAGATACCATCAGGCTTGCTATTCTTTTAATAAGAACAATTAAAAACAGATACCCTATTTTGCACTTAGAAATTTGTAGTGAGATGGATGCATGTTTATTGGAGATTTGAATTTTTTAATTTTTAAACTAACAGAGCATGCATGGCTTTTTCCTATTTTTCTACTGAGTGTTAGTACATTTTAATTGTTTTCTGAACCACTTTATTGACGTGTGATTAACATGCAAAACACTGTACATATTCACAGTGTACATCATAATGAGTTTGGAGATAAACACACACCCATTAAATCAAAACCTTATTTATGCCATAAGCATGATATTTACTTATTCCTTTATGTGTACATTTTAGAACTATGTATCTTCAAAATAATTTGACAAATTATTTAATTTGTGGGCATTGAGACATTCATATTATACCATTAAGATTACCTAGGAAATATTCTTCTCAACATCAGCCTTGGCAAAGTTTTGGCTGAGTCCCCAAAACCAAATGCAACAAAAACAAAAATAGACAAGTGGGACTTAATTAAGCTAAAGAGCTTTTGCACGGCAGAAGAAATTGTCAACAGAGCAAACAGACAACCTACAGAATGAAATAAGATATTCACAAATTTTGCATCTGACAAAAGCCTAATATCCAGAATCTATAGAGAACTTAAATCAACAAGGAAAAAAATCAAATAACCTCTTTTAAAAAATTGGCAAGGGACATAAACAGACAATTCTGAAATGATGACGTACAAGTGGCCAACATACATATGAAAGAATGCTTAGCATCACTACTTATCAGAGAAATGCACAGAAAAACCACAATGAGATACAATTTCATACCAGTCAGAATGTCTATAATTAACAAGTCAAAAAACAATAATTACTGGTGAGGTTATGGAAAAAAGGAAACACGTATACACTGTGGGAATGTAAATTAGTTCAGCCACTGTGGAAAGCAGTTTGGAAATGTCTCAAAGAACTTAAAACAGAGCTACCATTTAACCCAGCAATCCAATTACTGGATATCTACCCAAAAGAAGATAAGTCATTCTGCCAAAAGATGTATGTACTCATATGTTCAGTGCTGTTATTCCCAAGAGCTAAGACATGGAATCAATCCATGTGCCCATCAAGAGTAGGTTGGATAAAGAAAATGTAGTACATATACACCATGGAATACTATGCAGCCATAAAAAAGAATTAAGTCATGTCCTTTGTAGCCTCATGGATGTAGCTGAAGGCTGTAATCCTAAGCAAATTAACACGAGAACAGAAAACCAAATACTGTATGTTCTCACTTATACATGGCAGCTAACTGCTGAGCACACATAGACATAAATATAGGAACAATAGACACTGTGGACTACTAAAACATGGAGGGAGGTGGGGACACGGGTTAAAAAACTACCTGTCGGGTACTATGCTCACTACCTGGGTGACAGGATCTTTACTCCAAACCTCACAATCATGCAATATTCCCATATAACAAATCTGCACCTGTACATCCTGTATTGAAAATAGAAGTTGAAATAAAACAATAACAATAATTCTTTCCATGATCATGGGATCAATAGGGAAGAACCCTCTTTCATTTCTGATATTGTTAATTTGTGTCATCTCACTTTTTTCCATTTAACCCAACAAGAGTTTGTCAATTTTACTGATTTTTTAAAATAAGCTAGTTTTGATTTCTTCGATTTTTCTTTATTTTTAGTCTGTTTTCAATTTCGTCGACTTCTGCTCTAATGTTTTTTAATTTCTTTCTTTGTTGTGGCCTTAAACTGATCTTTTGTCTACAGTTTCCTAAGGTAGGAGCTCAGGTTATTTATCTTAGGTCTTTCTGCTTTTCTATATAAGATCCAGCAATAAATTGTTAAAAGTATTACGTTATATAAATGTTGATAAATTAATGAAGCCGAGAAGAGATAGAAAGGCAAGTATATATTTATAGAATACGTGTATTCATCCATTTTCACGCTGCTGATAAAGATATACCTGAGACTGGGTAATTTACAAAATAAAGAGGTTTAATTCAATTTACAGTTCCATGTGGCTGGGGAGGCCTCACAATCATGTTGGAAGGCGAAGGCATGTTTTACCTTGCAGCAAGCAAGACAGAGAATGAGAATCAAGTGAAACAAGTTTCCCTTTATCAAACCATCAGATCTCATGAGACTTATTCACTACCACGAAAAGAGTATGGGAGAAACCACCCCTGTGATTCAATTATCTCCCACTGGGTCCCTCTCACAAAGCATGGGAATTATGGGAGTACAATTCAAGATGAGATTTGAATGGGGACAGAGCCAAACCATATCATTCCACCCCTGGCCACTCCCAAATCTCATGTCCTCACATTTCAAAACCAATCATGCCTTCCCAAAGATCCCCTAAAGTCTTCACTCATTTCAGCATTAATTCAAAAGTCCACACTCCAAAGTCTAATCTGAGACAAGGCAAGTCCCTTCCACCTATGAGCCTGTAAAATCAAAAGCAAGTTTGTTACTTCCTAGATACAATGCGGGTATAGGCATTGGGTAGATACAGCCATTGCAGGTGGGGAAAATTGGCAAAAACAAAGGAGCTACTGGCCCTATGTGACTCTGAAATCCATAGTGGCAGTCAGATCTTAAAGCTCCAAAATCATCTCCTTGGACTCCATGTCTCACATCCAGGTCATGCTGATGCAAGAGGTCGGCTCCCACAGCCTTGACAGCTCCACCCTGTGGCTTTGCAGGGTATAGCCCCCCTCCTGGCTGCTTTCATAGGTTGGCACTGAGTGTCTGCGGCTTTTCCAGGAGCACAGTGGAAACTGTCAGTGGATCTACCATTCTGGGGTCTGGAGGACAGTGGCCCTCTTCTCACAGCTCCACTAGGCATTGCCCCAGCAGGGACTCCATGTCAGGGCTCCAAGCCCACAATTCCCTTCTGCACTGCCCTAGCAGAGGTTCTGCATGAGAGCCCCGCCCCTGCAGCAAACTTCTGCCTGGACATCCAGGTGTTTCCATACATCCTCTGAAATTAGGAGGAGATTACCAAACTCTAATTCTTGACTTCTGTGCACTGGCAGGCTCAACACCACATGGAAGCTGCCAAGGCTTGAGGCTTGCACCCTCTGAAGCCACCTCCCCAGCTCTATGTTGGCCCCTTTCAGCCATGGCTGGAGAGGCTGGGACACAGGGCACCAAGTCCCTAGGCTGCACACAGTACAGGACCCCTGGGCCCACAAAACCACTTTTTCCTCCTAGGCTTCTGGGCCTGTGATGGAAGGAGCTGCGGTAAAGACCTCTGACCTGCCCTGGAGACATTTTCCCCATTGTCTTGGGGATTAACATTTGTCTCCTCGTTACTTTTGCAAATTTCTGCACCCAGCTTGTATTTCTCCTCAGAAAATGAAATTTTCTTTTCTATTGCATCATCAGGCTACAAATTTTCCTAATATTTATGCTGTGTTTCCCTTTTAAAACTAACACAGCACTGAAGTCACCTCTTGAATGCTTTGCTGCTTAGAAATTTCTTCTACCAGATACCCTAAATCATCTCTCTCAAGTTCATAATTCCACACACCTCTAGGGCAGGGGCAAAATGCCTCCAGTCTCTTGGCTAAAACATAACAAGATTCACCCTTGCTCCAGTTCCCAACAAGTTTCTCAACTCTATCTGAGGCCATCTCAGCCTGGATTTCATTGTCCATATCATCATCAGCATTTTGGTCAAAGCCATTCAGTAAGTCTCTAGGGAGTTCCAAACTTTCCCAAATTTTCCTGTCTTCTTCTCAGCCCTCCAAATTGTTCCAACCTCTGCCTATTACCCAGTTCCAAAGTTGCTTCCACATTTTTGGATATCTTTTCAGCAATGCCCCACTCTACTGGTACCAATTTACTGTATTAGTCTGTTTTCACACTGCTGATAAAGACATACCTGAGACTGGGTAATTTACAAAAGAGGTTTAATTTGACGCCCAGTTCCATGTGGCTGGGGAGGCTTCACAATCATGGCAGAATGTGAGAGGCAAGTCAGCGGGAAAGATAGAGAGTAAGAATCAAGTGAAATGAGTTTCCCCTTATCAAATAATCAGCTCTCATAAGACTTAGTCACTACCATGAGAACAGTATGGGAGAAACTGCCCCCATGATTCCATTATCTCCCACCAGGTCCCTCCCACAATGCAAAGGAATTATGGGAGTGCCATTCAAGATAAGAATTGAGTGGGGACACGGAGCCAAACTATATCAATGTGTTATATTATAGCTATAGTTTGGTTGTTTGTCCCACAAACCATATGTTGAAATCTGATAATCCATGTTGGAGGTGGGGCCTAATGGAAAGCCTGTGAAGGGGTAGATCCCTCTTGAATGGCTTGGTGCAGTCCTTACAGTAATGAATGAGTTCCTGCTCTATTGGTTCCCATGAAAGCCGGTTGTTAAAAAGAGGCTGGCACCTCCCTCCAGCCTTATATTCACTCACGGTGTGATCTCTGCATACACTGCCTCCTGTTTGCCTTCCCCCATGAGTGAAAGCAGCCTGATGTCTTTACCCAATGCAGATAGCAGCTCTATGCTTCTCATAAAACCTGCAGACCTGTGAGCCAAATAAACATCTTTTCTTTATAAATCACCCAGCCTCAGGTATTCCTTCGTAGCAAAACAAATGGACAAAGACAATTAGCATTATTCTTTATCATTACAGGTCATCTTCATTTGTTCCCATGCATTCAGGTTACCACCTACAGTTATGTCCTTATCTTAATACAGATTTACTACCATCTGCCTCCTTTGTGATCTTATTCTCATGGTTTGGACTTCTAGGTTTAAATAGAGTCAATTCCTTTGTGAAGAGCTTTGAAGCTCTCCATTCTGATCGGCTGCACCCACCTTGGAAATAAACCCTGGGAATATTCAGGAGGCAATAGTGGCCTCTGGTCTTCTCAGGTTTTCTTCCCCACATGTAACTTCTACTCCGTGAATGAATTGAGATGAGCACTACTGGGGCCCAGAATATTCTCAGTCTTCTGCACGTGGGCTAGACACTCTGCCCTGTGAGGACAAGGACACCCCAACCTCTCTACTACACTAACATGGAGTTGGGATAGATGAGATATGCTGGCAGGTTTTCCTTCCTGGCGAGACAATATATTCCTTGATTAACAGCTCAAGGAAGAGGGATCCTGTTTCAGCCACTCCCATGTGGAGTAAAGCCTTCATCAGAATGAGATGGGTGGAGAAGGGAAGTGTTATGGCTCACATTCCACAGACTTGATATTTTCTTACTGAGTTTTAGTAAGTTTTGTTGAATAAATGTTTTTTCATTTGCTGGATGTCCTTGTGACAATTTCCAGACAAATGATTGTTTTCTTGTTTATAATAATTTTCACCAATTGTGTTGCTATTCCGGGAAGTAAGTACATGAAGCTCCTCACATTTCTTCTCTAAAAGTGAAAGAAACTCGACTATTAAAATATAATGTGCTTATTGATGGAGTTATTTTAATATCTATATGTTTGAAACCGTTTTCTATCTTTTGTATTTGTTTTTATTTTTTTCTGCCTTTTTTCCCCTGCCTCTTCTGATTTTGAGTATTTTATAATTCCATTTTATCTCCTCTCTTAGTATATTAATTCTTCATTTAAGTTTTTTCAGTTGTTGCTTTAGTTCACACTATACATTTTAAATAAGTCTACTTTTAAATAACACTATGCCAGTTCATTCATGTCAAGGTAAGGTACACAATTCCCCCTCTTATGCCTTGTGATATTACTGTGACTCATAAAACTTATCCATACGATATGTAACTTCCCAATACCTTGTTATAATTATTATTTCAAAAATCAGTTATATTTTTCACACACTGGGGCATGTCAGGGGATAGGAGGAGGAGGGAGAGCATCAGGATAAATACCTAATGCATGTGGGGCTTAATACCTAGGTGATGGACTGATAGGTGCAGCAAAACACCATGGCACACATTTACCTATGTAACAAACGTGCACGTCCTGCACATGTATCTTAGAACTTAAAATTAAATGAAATTTTTAAAATCGGTTAAATTTTTGATCAATTTAAAAAATTAACACTTTATTTTTCTTTCATTTATTTCATAATCAGTGGTCTTCCTTTCCTTATGACTTTTTAATTTTTTGACCTATATAATTTTGCTTTTCCCTGAAAAACTTCTTTTAGCACATCTTGCAGGGCTGATTTGCTACTGATGCATAACTTCAGTTTATATTATATAAGATAATCTTTATTTATTCATCTCCTTTGAAGAGACATTTCTCCAGAGATATAACTCTTCTTTTTTTTTTTTTTTTTTTGAGACGGAGTCTTGCTCTGTCGCCCAGGCTGGAGTGCAGTGGCGTGATCTTGGCTCACTGCAAGCTCCGCCTCCCGGGTTCACTCTATTCTCCTGCTTCAGCCTCCTAGTAGCTGGGACTACAGGCTCCCGCCACCACGCCCGGCTAATTTTTTTGTATTTTTAGTAGAGACGGGGTTTCACCGTGTTAGCCAGGATGGTCTCGATCTCCTGACCTCATGAGCCGCCCGCCTCGGCCTCCCAAAATGCTGAGATTACAGGCGTAAGCCACCGCGCCTGGCCCAGAAATAGAATTCTTGATTAGTGTTTTGGTTTTTTTCTCACATCTTAAAATATTTTACTGTATTCTTTTCTTGCTAATGTGATTCCGATGAGAAGTCCACATTAACTCCTGTCCTTTTTCCTGTGTAGGTAAGCTGTCCTGAATCTCCATTTTTAAAAAGATTTTCTTTTTGTCATTGGTTTTCTGTAGTTTGATTATGATATGTCTAGGTATTTTTATTTTATTTTATTTTCAAAATTTTTTTGTTTGTTTTTATCTTGGTGTTGTGAGTTTCCTGGACCTGTGGCTTGGTGAGTGTCATTAATTTTGGAAATTTTAAGCCACTATAATTTCAAATATTTCTCTTTGTCCATTTGCTTTTTTTTCTCCTTCTGGCATTCTATTACATATATGCTGACCTTTTGAAATTGTCCCATTCTTGGATTTTGTGTTCTGTATTTTTTAGTTTTTTTTTGTATTTTGATATGCAAAGTCTATATTGACCTATTTTTAAGTTCACTGATTCTTTTCCTGGCCTTGTATAGTCTTTGAATTTACATTATATAACTACTATGTTAGTATTTGTTGAAATTAATTGGCAATGATACTTTTATAAGTTCAATATAATACATCTGGATCCACAAAGAATATAATATATTGATTAAACTGTTCTAGGTCAAGAATTTGGTGCTGGGTGCAGTGGTTAATACCTGTAATGCTAGTACTTTGGGAGGATTACTTGAGCCTAGGAGTACAAGACCACCCTAGGCAATGAAGTGAGACTCTGTCTCTCAAAGAAGAAAAACAATTAGTCAAATGTGGTGGCAGGTGCCTGTAGACCCAGCAACTCACGAAGCTGAGGGAGGAGGATCACCTGAAATCAGGAGTTTAAGGTTGCAATGAGCTATGATTTACGCCACTGCACTCCAGCCTGGGTGACAGAGTGAGACTCCATCTCAAAAAAAAAAAAAAAAAAAGAAATGTTTGTTTGTTTTTCCCTTTCTTCCTTGTGCCTAAAAAATTTTGGTGTGTAAGAAGTGAGAAGTAAATAATCATTGGCCAGTTTAAAGTATAAATAAGTATGTTGTGATTTAAAACAAATAAAGATTTTACATTTGAAAAATAGGTTTGACTTCTGGACAATTACTGTAAAGTTAGTGTTGGCATAATGAGATTTGTGAGCTATTCCTGGAATACCCTGAATTTCAGTGATTATCCCAATCAGTATAAAAATCTTTAAATTCCCTTCCACTTTTCAGATTAGAGTTCTAATTAGAGCTTTTCTCATATTGCAACATTTTAATAAAGATTTGAGGTAATAAGTTTTGTGCACTTGTGTGAGTGTGTGTGTGTTGTGTATATGTTGCTCCTTTTAAACACCACAACAAAAACAATAAAACCATTTGAGCATCATCCTTTCTACTACTGAAGGAGCAGCTGTTTCTCAGAGAAGGCCATTGTAATAGCCTGGCGAATATATGCACTAGATATTTTCCCAGTCTCTCCAAAAGCATCACAATCATTTGCTCAAATAACAATACTCTATAAAAAAAGCAACATGCAAAATTTATAATAGGGACTACTACTCATGTGTTCTGAATTTATCCTGAAACCCCAATCACCACCGTGACCTTTCGCTTAGTGGGGTGACATATGGACTCAGCTAATTCACGGAGTCTTGATTCAGGTCCATCTCAGCACAGTTCACTGAGGCCAGGAACTAACACAGTGGTTATTTTTCTGACTGAAAATAAAATCAAAACGGGTATGTTTAGCAGTTAATCTATTCTTCACATTGATTCCTTGATCTTTCGAGTAAGAGTGATTGTCATAGCAAAGGCCAAATGGAAGTCCCTGAAATTTTCACACCGGGCCATTATAGCCCCTGGCCAAGAGAACAAATTAGAAACAATATTTCATCCCAGAGGAATAGCAGAACTTAGTGCCACTGTCAAAGACTTTAAGGATGCAGATACATGGATTCCATCATATGCACATTACTCATATCCACATTTAATGGGAAGCTATGCTTCATGCTTCTATACAGTCCTAAAACGATGGTTATGAGGTGCTGTCTCCAGCAGGTAGAATGTGTGGATTCAGGATCCAGGAGTGGAGGTAGCCAGGCACTGCTCTCCATCATTTCTACATGCAGAATTTATGCTTCACTTTCCAGCAGGGAACACAATAAGAATCTCATTATACTTAAAGCTACAGTTGCCAAGTGTTCTCCTTGAACTCTTCATGCCAATGACCTAGCAGGCATAAAAAGGAATTAGTAAAACAGCCAGGGTAATTGGTCCTGGCAGGTAAGATGGCTGCTACATAAGATGGACAGGAATGTGGTCACTTAGGCTGGAGTGCAGTGGCACAATCTCGGCTCACAGCAGTCTCTGCCTCTTACCTGGCAGGTGATGGCTGCTACATAAGATGGACAGTGTTTGGCAATCAGGTGGTCTACTGCAGGGTTTCTTGATAATCCCATGCTCAGTTCTTATTCTCAATATGAAAGTGGAACAACCACAACTTAATAAGGTCACAGTATCCAGGAATCTATGATAGTAGATGGTAGATAGGCCATAGTATCTATGAATCTTCACCCACAAGCCACCTAGACCAACAGAAGTGCTAGCAAAGATCAGTGTCATTTAACTGTGGTAGAGAAGGGAGATGAGTATCAGGTCAGTCCTCAGGACTGACTGCAGCATTAGGGGCTGTGGTTCATCGCATTAACCTTCCACTTTTAACTCTTCCTAGGAATTGTGGTGATTTAGAATCCTGGAGTAGCTGTGTCTGGATCCAGTGAACATAAATTGAGAACAAAGTGATTTTCAGTGGGGTGATGGGTGAGCTGAAGCCAATGCCTTCTGGTAACTTACTCACTCTGCAGCTGCTGTTAGTGCTGGCTGCTAATAGGCTCACAACCATCCCCTTCATTAGGACCACAATCCTTGGTTGAAAAGAGCTTCCTTACCCAGGAGAGCTCCTTCCCATGCCACAGGCATACTGCTTTCAATATTTAATTATATGGAAATACAAAAGTCTGGCCACAATGCCTCAAAGTGAAGGCAACTTTTTGGTGAGATTTATGTTCCAGATTCTCCTGTGAATGAAGCCAAGGCTGAGTTCTCTGAGACTATATTCTCTCTCAGCGTGTACCTATTCACTGTGCCTGTCTTGCTTCCTTCACTCTTGCTCCTGAAAAAGATTCCTGCAATACAGTGCATGAAACCACATCACTGCTAGAAAACACTACCAAATACATATTTAGACACAAATTCACATGCACAAATAATAACTCGAATTTGTGTTATGCTAAATTTTCAAAACACATAAACAACTTAAACATATAAATAGGAAAGTGTAGGAATACAGTAACAATACGCTGTATATGGTGATGCTATATATGTAACTTTCAACACAAGGCAAAAAGACATGACAAATTCAATAGTAAAGTCCTTAGAAGCTCATTTGTGTGGGAGGTAGTTAAGAATTATCATTAACTCTTACATCAGCCCTGTTTTATTTTGCTTTTTTGGGACAAAGACTTGCTCAGTCACCCAGGCTGGAGTGCAGTGGCACAATCTCAGCTCACTGCAACCTCTGCCTCTGTATTTTTTGTGGAGATGGAGTTTCACCATGTTTATCAGGCTGTTCTCGAACTCCTGACCTCAAGTGATATGCCTGCCTCAGCCTCCCAAAATGCTGGGATTATAGGCATGAGCCACCGCACCTGGCCAGCACTGTTTTCTTCTACTATTTTTTTAAATTATACAAGTCATATTTCACAAATATTGATATCTATACATATATATTTATAATTTTAATAGGCAACATTATCTATATTAAAAATAGTTCTATAGCAGTAGTGTTTATTTCTTTCCATTGTATGGTAAGAAAACACAAGAAAGAATGCTTTCACCTGTTATTCTAGAAAAAAAAAGATGGTCAAATTATAATAAAATGCGACCATGTAATATTACCTGGTCAAAATAATTTGAATATTACAAGGTCAAATGTATACTAATATTACAAGTAAAACCTTTACTTCATCTTGAGAGCCAAGTAGAATTGTTTATTTATTTTACTAGCCATAAATTCTGTTTTCCTTGACAGCACAGTGTATGAATAAATAACAGTTTTACATATAAGTGAATAGCTTTATAGCTATTCTTTAATTAAAATTGAATCCTTTCTTTAAAAAGATGTTCTTATTCTCATTTTCACGTTTTTCTTTCTCAAGCAGCAAATTAATATTACTGCTTTTTAGGCAGAAGAAATTTTATGCACTTGTGCTTGTGTGTATTTTTGAGAAAACTTGCAGCAGATAAACTTCTCTTTGAATGTTTCTGAATGGTCTTATTTCTGAATAAGAAGATGTGTCTCTGTGTGTATAAATATATACACGAGAGACAGATACTAGATAAAAAGATAGATAGATGACATTGAGAGAGAGAGTGAAAGAGAGGAAGGCAGGAGAAACAACTACAATCCAAGCCACAAGTATTTATGCAGGGAGTTCTATTTTTTACCAAATAGTTTTAAGAATTCTTGATCTAAGGTTTGATCCTAATCTTTCTTCTTCCTCCCTTCCTCTTTCTCTCTTTTTCTTCCTTCCTCTCTCCCTCCCTTCCTCCCTCCCTCCATTCCTCCTTCTTCCCTTTCTTGTTTTTTGTTTTGTTTTGGTTTGGTTTTGCGATGCAGTTTCGCTCTTGTCACCCAGGCTGGAGTGCAGTGGGGCGATCTCAGCTCACTGCCACCTCTGCCTCCCGGGTTCAAGTGATTCTCATGCCTCAGCCTCCCAGATAGCTGGGACTACAGGTGCCCGTCACCATACCTGGTTAATTTTTGTATTTCTAGTAGAGACAGAGTTTCACCATATTGGCCAGGCTTGTCTCAAACTCCTGATCTGAGGTGATCCACCCTCCTCGGTCTCCCAAAGTGCTGGGATTACAGGTGTGAGCCACTGCACCGGGCCTATTCCCTAAATCTTAATCACATCTGTTCATCACCACCCTTGTTGGCTATATACCACTCCCCATATGATTGTTTACAAGCTCTCCTTATTTTTATTCTCTAAGCACCACTGATACAACATTGGTGTGTACACAATTGTACAAAAAAATTAGGGATAAAGAATGGGATTCTATATCAGGCTAAGAAGCACTCCAATCAGTTGAGATTCTTTGCTGCAGATGACAGAAATCAACAAATATTGACTTAAAAACACAATCAAAACAAAAATTAATTTGATTAGAGGCTCCATTGTCAGCTCTTTGCTAATTATATTAATTCCATGGGCTACATTTTAGTGCATAATGTAAGCAGAATAGTGGTCTTTAATGATACACACATCCTACTCTCTGGAAACTGTGTATATATTACCTTACATTCAAAAGGAATTTTGCAGAAGGACATTCCAGACTGGGAGGTCATCCTGGATTACCTCACTGGTCCCAAGGTAAGAAAGGCCCTTAAAAGATGGAAGAGAGGAGCAGGAAAATCAGAGTCAGAGAGGAGATGCTATGATCATAGCTTTAGGTAAAGCAGTGAGATTGCTGCCTTTGAAGATGTAAAGAGGACACAGGCCAAGGAACACAGGCAGCCTCTAGATGTGTGAAAAGCAAGGAAAAGTATTACTTCCTTAGAGCTTCCAGAAGGAAGACAACCCTGCCAGCATCTTGATTTTAGCCCATAAGACCTCTTGGATTTTTGTATTTCTGACCCCCAGAACTGTATGATAATCCTTATTTGTTGTTTTAAGCAAGAAATATTATAATAATTTGTTATAGCAGCAATTACAAACCAAAATAGCATGTTATTCTTTTGCCCTTTCAGCTGTCAGAAAATTATTATATCTCTCTGACATTATGACGTTATGATAGATTGTCCTGTTCATTTTGTATGAACATTTAACTTTGCTTACAATGAGCACATATTAGTCATATAATCAGGAATTTATATATAGAATATGTAAAACAGATGACATTTATGACAATATTTAACATTGCTTACAATGAGCACATATTAGTCATATAATCAGGAATTCATATATAGAATATATAAAACAGATGACATTTATGATAAGTTTGAAATGTGTCTTCTCAAAACAAGAGATTAATGTGGAAGAGAAAACTTGAAAAATAGCTAAATGCAAGCAAGAAAGCTTAGTACAGAGAGAATGACAGAGGAAGAAAAAGAGTAAGAAAGAAAAATGTAGAAGAAATAAAATGCCTACCTAAGGACTTTGTCCCTAACATAGTAAGCATTGAAGACCTCCTGAAGGTTTTTGGGGAAAAAATAGATTAAATGAAGTTGAGCTTAAATTATGTATCATTACTAAATAGATTACTTAAGAACAATTGCTGAAGGTTGATGTATAATTTAGCTGAAAGCCTTTGTTTTTATTTACCACATTTCATATTAAAACCATATTGACTATTTTAATAGCAAAATATATGTTCACTATATCAAAATATGTTTAATATAAATAGAAGACAAAATATTTGAATAATCAACCATAAAGCAAATGAGAACATTATAAAGGAGTGAAATATATGTTAGATTTCTTAATCACCTACTGAAGAGGTGATATAGATGAAGAGACTTTTTGCTTGAATTTTTGCAAGAGAATTTTTGCTTGAATTAAGTAAATTAAAAATAAAATTTTGTGTCAATGCCTTCTAAAATTCACATTTTATAGCCGCTTCCAAGATAGTTTTATTTTCTGAGGTACTTGAAATGAGAGGTATAAGGTTGAGTATAAAACACTTTGCTCCCTCTGATCTCTTTAATTCTAAAATTTTGTTTATAACTATTAAAATTTCTCAGTGTCCCTGAACACTGATATTAGGGTAATATAGTGCAATTTCCTTTCTGCCTTTTACTCTCAGAAAATCATTATAAATAAAGTGATGATAGAGTTTCATGATTTTATAAGAAAAAGAAATAAGTACTTAGCTCTTTGTGTCTATCTTGAGATAAAACCATAAGGTGACTTTCAAGCAGTAATTTTAGTCAACTATGATATATTTTAGTAACCATTGAATTTGCTTTTAGGAATAACAGTTTTTTGAGGTTTTTGTTTTAACTCCAGATATGGAAAAATTTCAAAAGGTTTTTGGGGTTTGTCCATAAATATGTATGAAGCATTCATCTTATTCAGTCATTTAGTATGTGCATCTGTGATACATTTACAATGTCTTTATGATAGATCCTAACTTAAAGTCAGAATATAGACAAAGCTTCCATGTTAGGGGCCTATTTTAATACTTACAATAATAGGAGGACTTCTCTCACATGTGTTCTCTTAACAGACTGAATATATTGAGTAACTACAAAATAGAACAACACATTTGTTTACTCTTTGGATTATTATGTTGTTTGACAAGTTGAGGTCAGCATTGGAGACATCATATCATAGTGAACTTTTTTTTCTCTCTCTCTCTTTTCTTTTCTTTTTGAGATAGGGTCTCACTCTGTCACCCAGTCTGGAGTGCAATGGCACGATCATGGCTCACTGCAGCCTTGACCTCCCCAGCTCAAGTGATCCTCCTACCTCAGCTGGGACTAGGAATACAGACACACACCACCATGCCAGCTAATTTTTGTGTGTGTGTGTGTGAGGGTGGGTATTTTCTGTAAAGATGGGGTTTTACCATGTTACCCAGGCCGGTCTCGAACTCCTGGGCTCAAGGGATTCACTTGCCTCAGCCTCCCAAAGTGTTGGGATTACAGGTGTGAGCCAGCTCCCCTGGCCTGATTTTTTTTCCTATGTATTTTAAACATACTTCAAATCCTTAGGTATACATGGCTGCATTTTATAACTTTTACATTCTGCTGATGTGTCAGCCCTACTTCTTGACAAATGTATTTTGGTTCTCTGCAAATCATCCCTAAGAGATTTCTGGACATCTGCAGAGGATGTTTCAGATACACTCAAAGACAAATTTTATTCTGCTTGTTGCTCCAGTCCTGATTCATGGCATATAGCAGCTGGTGCACCAGAGGCCAAGGGAGAGCAGGAAGCTCTCTTTCCCCAAAATAAGTAGAAGCAATGTTCAAATCTACCATTCTAGATAATAGTTGTTCACCTGGGAATCAAAGAGCACAGCCTGTCAATCTATAAAATGAGAGAAAATATTTGCAAACCATCTCTCTGTTAAAGAGGTAATATTCAAAATATATAATCTATAATATATACACAATTCGATAGTAAAAACATAACAAAATAAAAAGTAAAAGAAAGAAAAAATCACAAATAATTTTCCCAATTAAAAAATGGGCAAATAACAGGAATAGACATTTTTCCAGAGAAGACATGCGAATGGTCAATATGTAAGTGTAAAGATGCTCAACATCACTAATATTCAGAGAAATGCAAATCAAATCACAATGAGGTATCATCTCACACCTGGTAGGAGGGCTATTATAAAAAAGACATGTGATTACAAGTGTTGGTGAGGGTACGGAGAAAACGTAATCCTTGTACACCGTTGATGACAGTGTAAACTAGTCCAGCCATTATGAAAAACACTATGGAAGCAAAACAAATTCTGAGGTTGTAATATACAGCATGATTGGTGATCAATGTGTTTGTGATAAACATTACACAAAGTATATGTATATCGAATTATCATGTTGCACACCTTAAACATATACAATCTTTGTCAATTACATATTTTAAAATAAAAAATCCTAATGAGCACAGACTATACTGTGTGTTCATAAGACTAATTATGAAAATAGCATTTGCAACTTTGTTCTTTTTTTTTTTTTTTTTTTTTGAGGCAGAGTCTCTTTCTGTTGCCCAGGTTGGAGTGCAGTGGTGCAATCTCAGCTCAATGCAACCTCTGCCTCCCTGGTTCAAGTGATTCTCCTGCCTCAGCCTCCCGAGTAGCTGGGTGTTATTGTCTTAATCCATTCCAGCTGCTATAACAAAATACCTGAAGCTGGGTAATTCTCAAAGGACACATTTCTATCTTACAGTTCTGGAGACTGCAAATGGAAGATTAAGGCACTAGCAAGTTTTGTGTCTGATGAGGACCTGATCTCTGTTTCCAAGTTGGTACGTTGTTGCTGGGTCCTCCAGAGGGGACAAACACTATGTTATCACACGACAGAGATGGAAGGGCAAAAGGGCTTAGCTAGTTCCCTCCAGTCTTTACATGTGACATTAATCTTATTCATGAGGGCTTCACCCTCATGGCCTATTTGCCTCCTAAAGGGCCTACCTCTTAATATTATTACATTGGGAATTCAAGTTTCAATGAATTTTGAAGTGGAAACATATTCAAACCCTACCATTCCTACAATTACTCTCTCCTCAAAGCACTGAACTTGTTCGTGGACTCAGAAAATAAATTGAATACAGCCTCAGTTGTTTCTATTTTTCAGTTATTGTGAGTAATGCTACTATGTACATGCATGTGTATGTTTTCATGCAGTCCTTCATTTTCATTTCCCTTGGGTTCCACTCCTAACAGTGGAATTGCTGTGTCATATGATAACTCTAGGCTTAATATTTTGATGGACTATCAAACTGTTTTCCAAAGAAGCTGCACCATTTTACATTCCCATCAGCAATGTATGAAGTTTCAATTTATCCACATGCCCTTCAATATTGGTTATTGCATGTCTTTGTTTTAATACCCATCTTATTGTGTGTGAAGTTATATCTCAATGTAATTACTTACATTTCCTAATCATTAATTTTATATCTACCTACCCATATCTATCTATCTATAAATACCTATTGATATTGTTCCCCCAGTGATTGTCGTGGGAATTATCATTATTCCTTTACTTTATATCAGTATAATACAGAGTAGTACTAATTTATTTTCAATATTATACAAAACATTTACTCCATTTTCTCCTTTCATTTTGTGCTATTATTATACAAATTACTTCCTTATAGATTGTATTCTCATCAACACGGATTTATAATTATTTATTTAAAGAGTTGCCTTTTTATATCAGAAAAGAGAAAAAAGATAGAAATAAAAAATATATTTATATATTTTATATTTACCTATGTAGCTACTTTCACCAGTGCTCTTTCTATCTTTCTGTACATTTGGGTTACTCTCTAATGTCCTTTCTATTCAGCCTGAAGGACTTCCTTTCATATTTCTTATAGAGCAGGTCTGCTTAGTAACAAGTTACTTCTTAATTGCTTATATAAGACTGTATTAAAATGCTTCTTCATTTCTGAAGGGTAATTTTGCTGGTTATAGAGTCTTTGGTTGACTTTTTTTCTTCTAGCTCTTGAATATGTCCTTTCACTGACTTAGGCCTCCAGAGTGTCTTCTAAGAAATTACCTATTAATCCTATTGAGGGTTTTTGTGTATGTGATGAGCTACTTCTCTCTTGCTACCCTCAAGATTTTTTCTTTGCCTTTTAATAGTGTCATTTTGATGTGTCACGTGTGGGTCTGTTTGAGTTCATCCTATTTGGAGTTTGTTGAGGTTCTTGGATGTATAGATTAATTTTTTTAAATCAAAAATTTGTGTGTTTCTACTCTCCTCTGGCACCCCATCATGCATATGATGGTATGCTTGTTGAATTACACAGGTCCCTAAGACTTTGTTCATTTTTCTTTATCGTTTCTTTATTCTCTGTCTTCCTCAGACTACATAATCTTAATGGACTAAGCTTCAATTTTATGATTTCTTTCTTCTGTCTCAAATATGCAGTTGAGTTCTTCTACTGAACTTTTCATGGAAGTTTTTGTAAGTTTCAAGTACAGAATTTTGACTTGATTTTTTTATGTATACATTTTTATTGATATTCTCTGTTTGGTGAGGCATTGTTCTTATGCTTTCCTTTAGTTATTTGAACAAAGTTTCCTTCAGTTTCTTGAATATACTCAAATAGCTGATTTTAAAGTTTTTGTGTAGTCATTTTAATATCTAAACTTCTTGAGAATAGTTTCTATTAACTGCCCCCTACATCTGTAGCTATGAGTCACATCTTCATTTTTCTTTGAGTGTCTCTTAAATTTTGTTAGAAAATTTGACATTTTAACAGACATATTGTGGCAACTCTGGAAAACAGAGGCTCTCCCACCCCAGGGCTTGTTTTTGTTGCTATTTATTGGTGTTGTTTAGTGACTTCTATAAAATAATTCTGTAAAGTGTGGATTCTTTGTCCTACTTGATTATTGAAGTCATTGCTTGTCTAGCTTAGTGGTTAGACTAAGTGGATAGACTTTCCTTAAATTCCAGAAACCAAGAAGTCTCTCAGTCTTTGCTGAGTGGGTCTCTGGGCACATTGATGCATACCTTCAGTACTCAGGTGACAGTTTACATCTTTGTCTTACTTAGCCTTCACTTTCTGCTTGCAACGAGCGCTAAGGTTTGTCAGCAAGAGCTTAGGGCCTTCTCAGCTCTACCCTGTGCATACACACAGGTCTGGGTACAGCCCTAAGTATGCATACAGCATTTTAGATTTCCAAGAATATGTTGGAGCATTCTGAAGTTCTCTACAGACATCTCATTTCACCAGATTTTTGATTTTTATTTTAAGTGTTTCCTTTAACCTCTTGTTGTCTCCAACCATCATTTCCTTCCTTGGGCACTCACAGTCTTAAACTATTTCCTTTGATTGTTCTTGAAAATGCACCATTGGAAAAGTTTATTCTCATTAGGTAAGCTTCAAGTCATACATAATAAAGACTACTTTGAAGATGGGTGTGGGGATATGGCAGACTCGTTGAACAATGATGGTTCTCTGGGAACAGGTAAGTTCAGGAGGCCCAACTTCTTACCCCTCTTCAGTAGCTATTATTCAGTTGTTTGCAGACTGTTGGTTTTTAAGGCTACAATGAAGAGGGAAAAAGGAGATAAAAAGAGGGCCACTTAGAACGCCACAATGCTTGCTGTTGTTACTGAGATTCACCCATTTTTCTTTTTTCTTTTCTTTCTTTTTTTTTTCTGGATGGAGTCTTGCTTCATTGCTCAGCCTGAAGTGCAGTGCTGGGATGTCAGCTCACTGAAGCCTCTGTCTCCCAGGTTCAAGCAATTCTCTGCCTCAGCCTCCTGAGTAGCTGGGATTACAGGCACACGCCATGACACAGAGCTAATTTTTGTATTTTTAGTAGAGACAGGATTTCGCCTTGTTGGCTAGGCTGCTCTCAAACTCCTGGTCTCAAGTGATCCACCCACCTTGGCCTCCCAAAGTGCTGGGATTACAGGAGTGAGCCACTGCGCCCAGCCTCATCCATTTTCCTTAAGTAAGGGTTCCCTGAATAGCTGCAAGGCTTTAATTAAGGGAGAGAACTAAATGTTATTTCATTGAATGCCCTGATTTCCAGAAATATCTTTTCTTGTCCCCATTTTGTAATACCAAGTTAAGTTCCTCCAAAATAATCAGAATCAATTACCCTTTGCACCATTCCCCTAGGAGTCTATGTTACCAATTAAATAATTTTGTTCTATCCAAGCTCTTGTTCAGGCATCTGTGCCATCAATCACTGTCCATGTGTTAAAATACAAACCTCAGACCTTATTCCTTTCCATGCAGTGTGGACAACCTAATGTACTGTCTACAAGGCAGATGTTTCTGCCCTTTTGGAAGATTTCACTTTACCTTGTCTTTAGGGTCACCTCTGTATAGGGCTATGACAAAGGAAGTACTCACATGCATTTGGGGCAGTATGCTGGGCAAACCGATTCTTAATTCAGGTCCATGCTTTTTGTTCTTCATTTATTAGCTCATGGAGCACTCATCATGAGGCTTCACATAAAGATTGAACAAGATGCATAGAATGAGTCTCACACATACCATTTCCATTTAACAATGGACTCTTGGTGCATACTTATTATGCAGACTCCTGTCCAAACTTATTATGCGGTAGATACTATATTAGCAAGCTCATGATGAGCAGGTAAAGTCACAGTCACCTAGGGTTCAAGGTTAGACATTAGTTCTTATGAGTGCTTAGTAGGAAACCATGACATACTTCTCAAAATAGGTTGATGCAGTGTAGCCCCATGTCGTACAGGTTATCTCTAAAATTCTAAGAGTTTCACCAGAGGTTATGCCATTTTATCTTGCAGTGGGCAGTGCAAGGAATAGCAGCTTATATCTCAGTATGGAGGAAAATTCCAATATGCCTGCTCTAATAATTTATTATTGTATTAAAAGCTACTCCAAAACTTAATGACAAAATAGCAAAAATAATTTACTTTGCTCATGAATCTGGAACAATCTCAGGGGGTGGAAAATGTTGTCTGACTCATAAGACATGAGACAGAGTGACTCAACTGGGGCAGAGGGATCCAGTTTTAAGGTGATTAACTCACATTACTGACAGATTAAGGCTACTGTGACTGGGAACTCAGCCATAGCCTTTTACAGGGCTATTTGGGCTTCCTCAAAGAATGGGGCCTTCACACAAAATCTAAAATTTCTCTCCTCTGTATATCATCTTAGTAAATGACTAAGCTGTTTCCATTTATTATGATCCAGTGATTAGTTAGAGGTCTCCAATATCTGCATGATAAGATACTCTCATTACTAGTGTGTTTCTGAGGCCTATTGTGATCACTGCACCTGATTTTTTTCAAACAGTTAATTGCTACCCCTTGGCCTCTACAGTTTCTGAATTTCATTATTTCCTTTGAAATTAGGAAAAACTACTTAATAACAGCATTCATCACCATTAACTCCTGCCTACAAAGGACAAGCACCGTAGAGTTTTTGAGGATACTAATGCCCTCTTACTAATACACTTGCAATGTCTTATGTAAGTAATAGACTCCAGGTCCTCCCGGGCATGGATAAAAAGTCACTGAACAAGTTGACAAAATAGATCCATTGCTATATGGTCATTCTCAGAGACTTGCAACTTCACTGTTTACCAGAAGAGTGCTGGTATTTCAATTTCATTAATACAAAGTCATTTAAGTCCAGAATTTGATTAGCCAATCTAGTAGACTATAAACAACACTTCTATCTTTTTTTTTTTTTTTTTTTTTGAGATAGAGTCTCTCTGTCGCCAGGCTAGAGTGCAGTGGCGCGATCCCAGCTCACTGCAACCTCTGACTCCCTGGTTCAAGTGATTCTCCTGCCTCAGCCTCCCGAGTAGCTAGGATTACAGGCATATGCCACCACATCCAGCTAATTTTTGTATTTTTAATAGAGCCGGGGTTTCACCATGTTGGCCAGAATGGTCTTGATCTCCTGACCTCGTGATCCACCTGCCTTGGCCTCCCAAAGTGCTGGGATTACAGGCGTGAGCCACAGTGCCCAGCCAACACTTCCATCTTTTTAGGCTGTGGCATTAAACCCTGAATGCAGAGTGAGGGTAACTATAATGGTATTTGGCCCCATCGAGCGTTGTATTTCATTCTTCTTAAAACATCCTAGGAATTTCATACATTCTCCTCAGCCTTCTACCAATAAATGATAAGAAAAACCTGTAACACTTTTGCTGATCAGAAGCCTTACTGAAAACATGAACAGTTGGTTAACACATATTTCATAAGTTACATGGATTGTATGTTATATTCTTATGATAAAGTAAGCTAGGGAAAAGACAATGTTATTAAGAAAATCGTAAGGAAAAGAAAATAAAAGATAAAAAAAAAAAAAAAGAAGAGCTCTAGCTCTTCTTAAAAGCCCAGGCAATGACGCACCATGAGGATTTGTCCTGAGAAAAATTATAAATTACCCAAGGGCAGTCAATAAAAGTGTTTGTCATTGTTTTTTTTCTTTCTTTCTTTCACTATTTTTTTCTTTCTTTATTTCTTTGTACGCATATTAAGGTTGACTTTCTTGGAGGAGAAGGCATTAAGCTGTCTCTAAAGCAAGAGAATTTTGAGAATCTGTTTGTTCAAATTTCTCAACCTCTTCTGTGTATGTCTGTATATCCCAATCCTGTGTCTTAAGGTTCCACTCATTCCTCTTTAGTACACTTGCCGTAGCCTAAGAAATCTGTTAGTATTAAATATGAATGAGGCTGCAACTCTTCATCCCAAAGAATCAGGGTCTGGGCTTAATTATGAGTAAGTCTACCCAGCAGGAAATCCAAATTGGTCTGGTGGAATATTAAAAACTGAGAAGAGTAACCACATTTTGTCATAAATTTCTTTAATCCATTTTATGTATCTTAAGTAAGAGGTTTCCCTGCCCAAACTATATAAATAATTTATCTGTAAACGTGGTGTAACACAGGTATAAAACAAATCTATACCTCATAATGAATTTCAGATAATAGAGCCAGGCAATTGATGATAACTTCTTTAAAAATATTCCATTTTAAAATTTAAAAAGCCATTTTCTGTTATGTAGAATTATAAGACTTTGATTGCTTTCTGGCTAC
Organism: Homo sapiens; assembly: GCF_000001405.40. Classification (NCBI taxonomy): domain Eukaryota; kingdom Metazoa; phylum Chordata; class Mammalia; order Primates; family Hominidae; genus Homo; species Homo sapiens. Next base: position 21,682,450 of record NC_000005.10, read on the forward strand.
CAGTTTAGATAACTATAGTCTAATTTACCTGGAAAACTTTTGTTATTCCTAAGTAAGAATTAATAAATGAAAGCTTTGACTAGGCACTTTTTTTTAGGAAAGAGAAGCTTTATTGAGATATAGTTTATGTATAACAAATTGCACCCACTTAAAGTGTACAATTTAATAGACTTTAACATCTATTTACACCCGACACCACTACCACAACCAAAAGTTTGCTTATGTTTCTTTGCAGTCTATCCCACCCACAACTTCTACTCCAAGCAAACCTTGATGGGCTTTGTTAATTATAGATGTGTTTACATTTTCTAGCATCTTATAAAAATGGGGTCACACACTGTGTACTTTTTTGGCTTCTTTGACTCAGGAAAATTATTTTTTGAGATTCATCTAAGTTGCAAAAATGCGGTAGTTTTTTTTTTTTTTTTTTTTTTTACTGCTGATTAGCATTACAATGTATGTTCATGCAACATTGTGTTTGTCCATTTCCCTGGTGATAGACATTTGGTTTCTTTCCAGTTTGAGGCTATTATAAATGAAGCTGCTATGAACATCCATGGGCAGACTTGTGCATGCACATCACAGTAGAATGACTGGGAATATAGTTAGTGTATGTGTTAATTGATGAGAAACAGTTTTTACAGTGGATGTATCACTTTAGATTACCACCTGCAAAGTCTGAGTGTTGTGGTTTCCCCATATCCTTGACAACCCTATCACTCTTTAATTTCAGACATTTTACACACCATAAAATAGGATGAGAAAAAAATAATAATAATTTCAGACATTCTGATAGATGTATAGTGTATCACACTGCAATGTTAATTTGCATTTTTATTACAAAAAATGCTTAGCACTTTTATATGTGCTTATTAGCAATTCATATATAGCATATGATTTATTTCATGAAATTTCATATTAAAGTTTACACATTTATATTTTAAAAAATTTTTGTTATCTTATTATTGTGATATAAAGATTATGTGCATATTCTGGATAGAAATCAACCTGCCAAATACATGAACTGAGTTGTTTTTTTCTGATTTTTCTTTTTGTTTTAAAAGATGTCAGTCAAAGAGTAGATGTTTTCAATTCTTATAAAATCAGTTTTTACATTTCTATTTATTTTTACATGTGTTTGTATTGTATTTTTTCCTACTAGGGACACATAGATTTTCTCCTATGTATTATGCTCACCATAAGTTTTATAAGTTAACAGTTTACTTTTAGATATATAATTCATGTCAAGTAAATGTTTATTATTTAGGAATTGATACGGCTGGGCACGGTAGCTCACGCCTATAATCCCCAGCATTTTGAGAAGCCGAGGTGGGTGGATCACGAGGTCAGGAGTTTGAGACCAGCCTGACCAACATAGTGAAACTCCGACTCTGCTAAAAATACAAAAATGAGCCAGGCATGATGGTGCGCATCTGTAATCCCAGCTACTCAAGAGGCTGAGGCAGGAGAATCGCATGGACCCTGGAGGCACAGTTTGCAGCGAGCCGAGATTATGCCATTGCACTCCAGCCTGGGTGACAGAGCGAGATTCTGTCTGGAAAAAAAAAAAAAATGAATTGATATTCATTTTTCCCTCTAATTGTTATGTTTTTCCAGAGCTATAAGTTAAAATACTATCTCTCTTCTCCCCCACCTTTTTTTGGTAACATGCTGAAAAAAATCAATTGATTATATATCTGTGGGTCTTTTCATGAATTCTGTTCTGTCCCATTGATCTAAATGTATATCTCTATGTTAATACTATTCTGTCTTGATAAAAGTAGCTTTATGGTATACTTTCAAGTAAAGTGGTATAACTCTCCTAGCTGTGGTCTTCCTTTGCAAAACTGTTTGGGTTATTCTAGGTTATTTGTTTTTCATAAATATTTTAGAATCAGTCAGTTTCTACAAAAATCCTTACAGAATTTTGCAAAATGTGGGATTCATATTAGTTTTCTAGTGCTATCATAATAAATAACCACAAATTGGATGGTTTAAAAGAAATTTCTTCTTTCCCAGTTTTGGAGGCCATCAGTGCAAAATTAAGGTGTCAGCAGCCCTATTCTCTTTCTGTAGGCTCTAGAGAATTATGCTTCCCAGCCTTATCCTAGTTTCTTGTGATCACAGGCAATCCTAGGAGTTTCTGGGCTTGTCAATGCATCCTTACAGTCTTTGCCTCCATTTTTACATGGCATTATTCCTGTGTGTTTGCATCTTTGTGTCAAAATTTCCCTCTTCTTATGAGGTCATCAATAACATTGGATTTAGGTTTCCTTCATTTTGACTTGATTGTATTTCCCAATACCTTATTACCAAATAAGGCCATATTCACAGGTTCTAAGTGGACATGAATTTTTACGGGACATTATTTAACTTGGTACGGTCCCCAAGAACACTCTCACTTTTAAGTCCAGGTTCCCACATCTCCAAGACTGCTCTCAGGTTCAACTCATGATTATGGTTTATTGCAGCAAAAAAGACACAAATGGCAATCAGCAGAGGGAAGAAGCACATAGACGAAAGTCCAGGAAATACCTAGCTATGAAGCTTCCCTTTCTACTCTCCCAGTGGAGTCTTGGGTAGAGAATCTATTTCTCTAAGCAGGAATATGTGACAATATGCATGGACTATACCAACCAGAAAGCTCAGCCCAGCTTTGATGTCTAGAGTTTTCATTGCATTCAATTACATAAAAATTATTGCTCACCATGTTACTGACCTTAGCCTCCAACTCCTTCAGATGTCCAGCTGATAAGCTGATAACATGTGACTCAAGATCCTCCACTATACAACATAAATCACGTTGTTAGCACAGACTATCTGGTGTGGCCATAAACATGCAGCTAAACAGAGACACCTTTATTGGGTAGGACATTCCAAAGGCTTAGAAGTTATTTTTCAGGAGCCAAACAAAAGATCAAACCTCTCTTTAAGCAAGAAAAATCATTTACTATACACATTTTGATTAGTATTTCTTGATCTTTTGATCAATTTTGGGAACATTGATATTTAAACAGTATTGATAACTATACTATACTGTAGGTCACAATACTGTATTATATACTTGAAATTTACTAAGAAGGTAGATCTTATGCATTTTCATTACAAAAAAATGGTAACTATGTGAGGTAATGGACACATTAATTTAATTAATTGTGGTGATCATTTCCAAATGTATGCATATATCAAAACATCGCGTTGTACACGTGTGATAGTGTGAGATATACACTTGGTCTTTCTCCTCCCTTTCAGCATATGACTCACAGAATTCTTGGCATCTCCTACATGATTAGGGTGTCTTTTGTATGCTAATGAGATGACTGGTGGCTGGCAGCCTCTATATAACTTTAGAGTAGGGCTGGTCACTGGAAAGAGCAAGACAGAATTACAAAATAGGGACTTTCAGCTCCATTTTCCAACCTGTAAGGAGATCGGAGGAGCTGAAGGTTGAGTTGTGATCACCAAAGACCAATGATTTAATTAATTATGCTTATATAATAAAGCCTCCATAAAACCCCAAAGGGACAAGGTTTAGAGAGCTTCTGAATAGCTGAACACATGGAGGTTTCTGGAGGGTGATAATTGAAGTGGGCATGGAAGCTCCACCCCTCTTTCCACTTGCCTCATTCTAATGAGGACCTCATGCCCTCATTCTATGCATCTCTTCCATCACGCTGCCCATCTGTATCTTTGTGATATCCTTTATAATAAATGAATATGTGTAATTACAACATTTTTCTCTGAAGTACTGTTGCAAGGTAATAAAACCCAATAAGGAGATTGTGGGAACCCTGATTTCTAGCTGGTTGGCCAGAGACACAGCTCCCAGCCTGTGTAACTAGCATCTGAAGTTGGGGGAAAGTCTTGTGCTGCTGAGACCTCAACCTGAGAGAGCTGATGCTGTACCCAGGTAAAAAGTATCAGAATTAAATTGAATTAGAGGACAGCCAGCTGGGGTTTGCTGAATAATTTGCTGGATAATTGATTGGTGTATAAGGAAAAACCATCACACATCTGGAGTCACAGAAGTATTGAGTATGTGAGTGTTGAAAATAGGAAAAACATACCCTTAGTTTTTCTTTTCATCAGAACACCTTAAATATACCTTGTCAATTTTACCTCAATAAAATTCAAAAAAAATAAAAACTAAATAATATTAATTCTCATGATTCATGATCATGGTATACGTAAAATCCAAAAAAATAAAAACTAAATAATGTTAATTCTCATGATTCATGATCATGGTATATGTCTTCATTTATTTAGATCTTTCTGTCAGCCGTGTGTATAAATTTTAATAATTTTGTTAAAGTTATATCTGAGTATTTCATGTGTTTGTTATAATGCAATTGTAAATGCAATTACAGTCATATGACATGTAACAATGTTTCAGTCAGCAAGGGACCTCTTACAGGAAGATGGTTCCGTAAGATTATAATGGCGCTGAAGAATTCCTATTGCCCTGCTAACCTCACAGAGCAATGCATTACTGATGTGTTTTTGATGATGCTGATTAAACAAACCTGCTGTGCTGCTAGTCGTATAAAGCCTAGTACATATATTTTTACACAATACTTCATAATAAATGACTATGTTATTAGCTTATGTATTTACTACACTATCTTTTTATCTTATTTTAGAATGTACACTTCCACTTATATAAATTTAAAAAGTTAACTGTGAAACAGCTTGAGGCAGTTCCTTCAGTAAACATTCTAGAAGAAGGCATTGTGATCACAGGAGATGACAGCTCCATGTATGTCATTGCACCTGAAGACCTTCCAATGGGACAAGATGTGGAGGGGTAGATAGTGATATTGATGATCCAATAGTGGGTAGGCCCAAGTTAATATGTGTGTCTTGGTTTTTAGTAAACATATTTACAAATTGAAAATTTTTAAAATTAAATTTAATAATAGAACGAAGCTTATAGAACCAGGATATGAAGAAAGAAAACATTTTTGTACCGCAGTACAGTGTGTTTGGGTTTCAAGCTAAGTGTTATTATAAAACAGTCACAATTAAAAAAAGTTATAAAGTAAAAAATTATAGTAGGCTAAGGATACTTTATTATTGAAGAAAGAAAAAACTATTTTTTAAACTTTAGTATAGCCTATGTGTACAGTGTTTATGAAGTCTACTGTAGTGTACAGTAATGCCTTCACATTCACTCACCTCTCACTCATTGACTTACCCAGAGCAATTTCCAATCCTGTAAGCATATTTCGTGGTAAGTGCCTGATATGGTTTGAATGCCCCACCCAAATCTCACGTTGAATTGTAATCCTCAATGTTGGAGGTGGGGCCTGGTGGGAGGTATTTGGATCGTGGGGGCAGATCCCTCATGAATGGCTTGTGCCATTCCCCCGGTGATGGTAAGTGAGCTCTTGCTCTGAGTTCACATGGGATCTTGTCATTTAAAAGTGTGTGACACCTCCCCCACCTACTACTCTCTCTCTTGCTCCTGCTTTCACCATGTAATGCACAAGCTCCGGGTTCTCCTTCTTCCCTGAATAAAAGCTCCCCAAAGCCTCCCCAGAAACCAAGCTATGGCAGCACCATGCTTGCACAGCCCGAAGAAGCTGTGAGTCAATTAAACCTCTTTTCTATATCAATTACCCAGTCTTCGGTATTTCTTTATAGCAAAGCAAGACTGGCTTAGTAGAATGCACTATGAAAATGTACCTTTTTTTTTTTTTTGTCTTTTATACTGTATCCTTACTGTGCCTTTGTATGCTTACATATATTTAAATACACAAATACCTATCATTGTATTACAGTTGCCTACAGTATTCAGTACATTAACATTCTCTACAGGTTGTAGCCTGGGAACAGTAGGCTAAACCATTATTGCATGTATAAACATACAATGATTTTCTTTTTGGACATCGTTGCATGTGCAAACCTAAATTGTATAGCCTACTACACACTATAACCTAGGTGATATGGTTTGGCTGTGTCCCCACCAAATCTCAACTTGAATTGTATCTTCCTGAATTCCCACATGTTGTGGGAGGGACCCAGGGGGAGGTAATTGAATCATGAGGGCTGGTCTTTCCCGTGCTATTCTCATGATAGTGAATAAGTCTCATGAGATCTGATGGGTTTATCAGGGGTTCTTGCCTTTGCTTCTTCCTCATTTTCTCTTGCCTCCTCCATGTAAGAAGGGCCTTTCGCCTCCCGCCATGATTCTGAAGCCTTCCCAGCCATGTGGAAGTGTAAGTTCAATTAAACCTCTTTTCTTCCCAGTGTCGGGTATGTCTTTATCAGCTGCATGAAAACAGACTGGTACACTAGGTGTATAGTAGGCTCTACCATCTAGATTTGTACATGCAATGATGTTTGCACAATGAAAAAATTGCCTAAGGACACTTTTCTCAGAATGCATCTATGTGGTTAAGGGACTCATGACTCAATCATGCAAACATCATAGAATGTATTTACACAAACCAAGATTACCTCAATCCAAGCTTGAGACTATAATCACACATTCTATGCTATTCATACTTTAATAAAATTTTCAGTTAGGATAACTAACATGTACAAAAGGTTTTCTTAGAGATGTACAAACTACTTTTTTAAAAACCTCAATCAGTGTTTCTCAATGTGTTGTCCTGGGTCATAAGCATCAAGTTCATCTTGTTAGCTATTAAACAGTCGTATTTCTTGATTACATGTCAAACCTACTAAGCAGAATTGTGGTTGGAGATTGTGGGAGGATAATCTGCACTTTAAAACTGTCAAAGTGAATCTAACTCACACTAAACTTTTAGAGCTATTGGTAAAGATATTCTAAATCTGATTGTTAGATCATGCTGACTATCAAACAGCCGCACAAGTAGCTGCTTCCTCTATAGAACTGCTTTTTGGAAATATATTTTGTAGTTGCACAAATGAGCTACTTGAGGAATATAGTAAATTGCATATAGAGATTTTTATTATATATGTTGTAAGACTATTGATTATTATAAAGTCACTAAGAGCCTTTTTATTAAGGAAAAATTCAAGATCTGATTTCTCAGATGACAATAAAAAATAAAATTTTTATTTTTCCAAGTAGTATTAAGAAGAAATAGATGTTTAATTTAGTTAAACCTACAACTGAATTAGTCATACATAAGAGAAATTAGTCACATGTAGATTTCTTCAAAGGGAAATGGAGAGTTACAAATGAACAAAAAAGTCAATGGAAAAGAAAAACATGTACAAATTTGTTTTGTTTTATTTTCCCCTCCCTTGGCAAACTGATTTGCTGAAAACTATCAAGAAGAGCAGTTTTCCCTGGAGCGAGCCGACTCAGTTATAAGGGAAAGTAATTTCAGTTATTTATGGGCTTCTAGAGAAACCTTGTGAATTCAATACTGTCTTGTTTATCTCTGGGCAATGGTGTTGTTTTTCCTTCTGCTGGCATTTCCACCTTACTTAAGCCAGAATTGCACCATTTCCCTCTTTATGATTCCTCAGTGTACTGGTATATTAATTTTTTGAACGAGTTATGAATTTTGAAACTTGTTCATAAAACTAACACCACTTATAAGTTTTGAAAGTTGTAACTGAGCATAATTGTACTTTGGCTGCCAGAAAGCTACAAGTTGATTTTGCTCTCCAAGTTATAAAGCTGTAGTGAATTTCATGGCACTCATTTCTATGTTCAGGCTTTTACTGGTTTAAAAGTATTCTGTTATTTCTATCTTGCTGATTCCTATGGTGTATTTCTGTAATTGACCACAAATAATTTTGGAAACATGGAAACAACATCGTTTGGTTTGGTAACTCAAGATCTATCATTTTTATTCATAATTCCTCTCTCTAGTCATTTTCCTTAATTATGATCAATATATTTTAGTAAAGATCCTAGACTTATTTTCTCAATTCTGAGCACCTGACTTGAGTAGAAAAAATTTGTATAAATTCTTTTCTCATTTTAAATAGCATAAATATCACTGAAATAGAGAATCATAGGAACTACTGATATGTAGATCATTCTTATTGAGCAAATATTTTTAAATGAAACAGAAAATAGTATACCTTCCTAGCAATAATTTTGAAACTTTCATAGTAATTTCTTGTTGCCATCCACCTAGTCCAATCCCAATCTCAAGCAAAAGCTCTGATTAAAATTTATTTTACTTTAAAATTCAATATGCAATGAAAATTCATCCTTGAGGCTTACCATTTTCTTTGGAGATTTAGAAGAACTTGACAAAATATTTTTATAATTCTTCTCATTCACTAGTTATGGATACTTTAACTCAAAGAATAATATGTCTATTCTTTCAGTGTTTTGGTACTGAAATATTTCCCAACATGCTTCAGCAATGTTTTCTTTGTTTTTTTCACAGCATATGAAACACAAAAAAGTACATAAAAAAATCTTTCTTGCTGAAAGAATAAGGCTATTTGCGATTTAGATTTATCTAGTCAAATGACATGATTGTGTATTATACTGGGAAAAAATGTCATATGAGTTAATAGACTTTGTTTTGAGGCCCACTTGGTTTTCTTGTTAAGAGAAGACCCTTAAGCAAGTAATGTAAGCTTGGTATTACCCAGTTTCTCTACCTGCAATATTAAAAATATTACCTTGCAATTTCTACACTTGTAAAATTTAATAATAACTAATTATTCAATCATAAGTCTAATTTTCATCTTAAAACTATGTTTTTACACCTATATATACACATATATATGTACACACACAAATATATATATATATTTCTTACCCTATTCTTTTCATCTTGATCTTTTAAAATTTTTATTGAATTAAGCCAATTGTATAGAGTTTTGCAAAAAAAGAAGTTATTTTAAAGCATAGCCAATTGGCTATATTTAACCAGAAACTCTACATTTGTATACTAAATCCCCATGCTGAATATATGCAGCAATTAATATTAATTTTAAAGACTGGAGGATATTCAATACTGCATGTATTCAGAAGGAGAAAAATGTAAAGTAAATCAAAACCACCCAGAAAAGCTTCTAGGAGAATAAAGATTTGGAGGTACCAGAGAAAAAATAAGGGTAGACTATGTGCTACAAATAAGGAAAGAGTTTGAAAGCCTGTAGATTGGATAGTTGTATCTGATACATGGAAAACTTTAATCCAGAGAAGCCACATGTTTATTCTCTGAATTGAATGAAAAAAGAAATTGAAAAGGAGTGTATGGGCCACAGGAGAGGGAGGATGTAGGTTTGAAAGTTGAGAACAAGAATACTTAATGATATTCTGCAGCCTAAATTGTGGAAGCTTTGGCTTACCCCAAATTGCTCCAGTTTTTTAAAAGCAGAAGTAAATGTATATTTCTAAAATGAGCTGTTTTATATATATAAGAATATATTAGAGGAAAATATTACATAAATTAACACCCTTTTTATTGTGAACAGATAGCAAACAACCTGGCAAAGCGTTCATAGTTAAATACTTATTAATTACATGACTGCGTACTACATGAAAATCACTGAATTGATGAAGCAATGTGTATTAGTCTGTTATCACGCTGCTATAAAGAACTGCCTGAGACTGAGTTAATTATGAAAGAAAGAGATTTAATTGACGCATAGTTCCACAGGGCTGGGGAGACCTCAGGAAACTTACAGTCATGGCAGAAGGGACAGCAAATATGTCCTTCTTCACATAGTAGCAGGAAAGAGAAGAATGAGAACTGAGCAAAGGGGGAAGCCCCTTATAAAATCATTAGATCTCATTAGAATTTGCTCACTATCACAAGAATAATATGGAAGAAACTTCCCCCATAATTCAATTACCTCCAACTGGGTCCCTCTCACCACACATGAGGATTATAGGAACTACAATTCAAGATGAGATTTGGGTGGGGACACAGGAAAACTATATCACGGTGGTGAGCATTATTTTCTTATAGGGAAAAAAAAATGATTGAAGCATAGATCCTGGAATGAGAAGTCATGGAAAAAGCTCATAGCTTAATTCCCAAATTGTTGAGATTTGAAGTCTGTGCAGTGTTTATAACAGTTAGATCATTAGGTTATCTTGACTTACAAAAGGACCAAAATCAGTGAGGAAACAAAGAACTACACACATAACCTCAGGCACATATTTCCTGAGAAGTTACTTTTTTTTGCCTTTAGAGGCATATCAAATCTGTATTTGATTAAATCAACAATTTTCTAAAGATATTTGGTGGGTGAGACAAAAGTAGAAAACAAAAATGACCTATTTGACAGAGTAAAAAAGAAGAGATTATAAAAATAAAAGCATGCTGAAAACTGTAAGAGGGTAAGTGAAATAAAAGGGAGAGATCATTGGCTCAAACGCAGAAGTTTTGTTATTTTATGTGCCGTATTTTCCAACGTTTGCAAAAAACTGAGTGAAGATATTACCCCAGAGCAAAAAAAAGAGTTTCAGATTTTCTGAGAGTAACTTAAATTAATTTTCTCAAGTTTTTTTTTAACATCCCATTTGTCTCTTAGGTAAAATCCAACATCCCTTCAACAGAGTGCTCTGATGTTCATTTCTGATAATGTGTGTAAAATAACCACACATATTAAATATCTCTGTCCCCAGAGACACTTTAGGTATTCAATGGAGCTTAGTTTTATCTTGGATAAGATTTATTGAATTAAAGGGAAGTACAAGGCAATTCTAAAATAATTGAGCCAAATATAAATATGGTATGCACTTTTAAACAAGAAATCCCAGTGGAAGTGTAATTATTCAGTGCATGGAAAGAGGTAGAAAAAAAGAAGCCTTCACTTGGGACACGAGTATAATTTTAACAGTATAACAGTAATATTAATGACACCAAACACTGCCTTTATTCTAAATAAATAAAGATGAATACTAAATGTCTTGAAAGACCCCCAGTAACCACCTGTGCTATTATAAAGGTTTAGCTGTCAAATCAGTCTCAGGAACATTCTACTAAACTTCACTAATGATCCGTATGAAACAGGAAAGCAACAGATGCAAAGAAACCTTCTTTTTCTGGAGGAACCAAAAGGATCTGATACAGCTTCTTAGAATGTTCCTTTATCTCTCATTGAAACAAATTATAATTTCCTATTAATAGAATAGTTTTTTTGAGTCATTGACCATAAAACAAAGTCATTCTGATTTTAAAATTTTTTCTTTGTATACTCTATTAATTCAATAGGACTACACTTATATCACTATCCTCCATTCTTCAGTCAGCCAGATCTCATAAATCCATAACTTCTAGATTGACATTAAGCAATTTATGTGGACTAGATATATCCCTCTAAAATATCTTACAGATAAGGACTCCCATTTCTTTCTGATAGTACCTTGCCATTAAAATTTTTACAAGGATGTCTGGTCAGGATCATTCATATCCTCCACTGAAGTAAACAGTGAACAAGTTATGACCTGCTGTTAAAACTTTTCATTAACATTTCAATTGTATTGAAGTCAATTCAACAAATATTTATAGAGTCATTTCAATGTGTCAGGAACTTTTGGCATTCTCTCTCCCTGCTCCAAAATTTCATGAAGCTGCTACACTATGTTAAGAGAAAGAAATGTCTAGTTCTAGCAATTCATTTCATCACACTGCAACTTGTTTTTTTATTTCTATTGAGTGATCCTATGTTGACATTTGATTCCTTATCTAAAGGCCAACAGTGACTTTTTAATTTACAAATAAAGCAGCTTTTCTCAGTTATTGTCCTTTTCAACTTTGTCACTTAAAAAAAATGTTTCTTGGTTTACTGCATCTTAATACACTCCATATGTGTCCTGGGTCTAATTCTGTCTTAAAATCAAATTTCTACTTTTAACATCTTCCCATTCTGTGTTTTCAGGAGGTTTGCTTTTATTATTTTCTCTGCCCTATGGCCTCCCATCACCATCCATCCACCCCAGCACACACTAGCAAAATGAATTACAAGCTGTGGATCATGACATCCTTGCTTCTATAACACTTCATCATTATTTTCCTGTGAAAATACAAAACTCAAAAATGTTATTTTCTCTCTTTCCTGACTTTATATTCTGAAGCAGGCCTTTAACTGACTTGGATATTTCTAGTAATCTAAACATTGATTCTTTTTCTATTCATTCTACATTGCCTTGCAATGCAGTATAATAGAAGGAACACAAGCTCTGGAGTGAAATTTTTCTTAGTTCCCCTTCCAAACTTACTTATTCACTGTGTGACCTTAAACCCTCAGAAAATGAGGAGTTCAATAAATGTCATTTCTTATCCTTTCTGGAAGTATCGCAGTGAGATGTTTACCATCTTGCTCAACAGATTCCACTTTCTCCCCATTAAGGAATTCTGTATTCCTTAATCAGCTATTCATAACATGCCTGGAACATCTTTTTACCATCACATTCCTTCAATATACCATAAACTTCAGTCCTTGTTTTTCATTCGCTATATCTGAAACACTCACTAAACCATTTAAGTTCTGTTTATATTTGCTCATTTTCACAAAACACTTACACTAAGCTTTCCAAAAAAATATTTTGCTATTATTATAGTTATTTCAATGAAGCAAACCATTTGCAATGTAATAAGCATAGCACTTTGACTATAATAAATAGATAAATAAGGCAACTTAAAAAATTAGGCTATGGGATACATGTGCAGAATGTGCGGGTGTGTTACACAGGTAAACATATGGCAAGGTGGTTTGCTGCACCTATCAATCCATCCATCACCTAGGTATAAAGCCCCACATGCATTTGCTATTAGTCCTGATGCTCTCCCTACCTCCCATCCCCTGACAGGCCCTGGTGTGTGTTGTTCCCCTCCCAGTGTCCATGTGTTCTCATTGTTCAACTCTCACTTACGAGTAAGAACATGCAGCGTTTGGTTTTCTGTTCCTCTGTTAGTTTGCTGAGGATGATGGCTTCCAGCTTCATCCATGTCCCTGAAAAGGACATGAACTCATTCCTTTTTATGGCTACATAGTATTCCGTGGTGTATATGGACCACATATTTTAAAATCCAGTCTATCATTGATGGGCATTTGGGTTGGTTCCAAGTCTTTGCTACTGTGAAGAGTGCTGCAATAAACATACGTGTGCATGTACCTTTATAATAGAATGATTAATATTCCTTTGTGTATATGCCCAATAATGGGGTTGCTGGGTCAAATGGTATTTCTTGTTCTAGATCCTTGAGGAATTGCTACACTGACTTCCATAGTGGTTTAACTAATTTACTTTCTCACCAACAGTGTGAAAGCATTCCTATTTTTCAGCAGCCTCGCCAGCATCTGTTGTTTCTTGACTTTTTAATAATCACCATTCTGACTGATTTGACATTGTATCTCATTGTGGTTTTGATTTTCATTTCTCTAATGATCAGTGATGTTGAACTTTTTTCATATATTTGTTGGCTGCATAAATGTTTTCTTTTGAGAAGTGTCTGTTCATATCCTTTGCTCACTTTTTTTTTTTTTGAGACTGTCTCGCTCTGTTGCCCAGGCTGGAGTGCAGTGGTATGATCTCCACTCACTGCAACCTCCACCTCCTGGGTTCAAGCAATTCTCCTGCCTCAGCCACCTGAGTAGCTGGGATTACAGGTACCTGCCACCACACCTGGCTAATTTTTATATTTTTAGTAGAGATGGGGTTTCACCATGTTGGCCAGGATGGTCTTGAACTCCTGACCTCAGGTGATCTGCCTGCCTCAGCCTCCCAAAGTGCTAGGATTACAGGCCTGAGCCACTGCACATGGTCCCCTTGCCTACTTTTTGATGGGGTTGTTTGTTTTTTTCTTGTAAATTTGTTTAAGTTCCTTGTAGATTCCAGATATTAGACCTTTGTCAGATGGGTAGGTGGCAAAAATTTTCTCCCATTCTGTAGGTTGCCTGTTCACTCTGCTGATAGTTTCTTTTGCTGTCAGAAGCTCTTTAGTTTAATTAAATCCCATTTGTCAATTTTAGCTTTTGTTGCAATTGCTTTTGGCAATTTCATCATGAAATCACATGCTTATTTCCTGAATGGTATTGCCTAGGTTTTCTTCTAGGGCTTTTGTGTTTTTAGGTTTTACATTTAACTCTTTATTCTGTCTCGAGTTAATTTTTGTATAAGGTGTAAGGAAGGGGTCCAGTTTCAGTTTTCTGCATACAGTTAGCCAGATTTCCCAGTACCATTTATTAAATAAGGAATCCTTTTCCCATTGCTTGTTTTTGTCAGGTTTGTCGAAGATCAGATGATTGTAGATGTGCAATTTTATTTCTGAGATCTCTCTTCTGTTCCATTGGTTTATGTGTCTGTTTTGGTATCTGTACCATGCTGTTTTGGTTACTGTAGCCTTGTAGTATAGTTTGAAGTCAAGTGGCATGATGCCTCCAGCTTTGTTCTTTTTGCTTCAGATTGTCTTGACCAAATCGGCTCTTTTTTGGTTCCATATGAATTTTAAAGTATTTTTTTCTAATTCTGTGAAAAATATCAATTGTAGTTTGATGGAAGTAGCATTGAATCTATAAATTACTTTGGGCAGTATGCCATTTTCACAATATTGATTCTTCCTATCCACGAGGATGGAATGTTTTTCCATTTGTATGTGTCCTCTCTTATTTCCTTGAGCAGTGATTTGTAGTTCTCCTTGAAGAGGTCCTTCACATTCCTTGTTAGCTGTATTCCCAAGTATTTTAACCTCTTTGTAGCAATTCTGAATGGAAGTTCACTCATGATTTGGCTCTCTGCTTGTCTGTTGTTAGTGTATAGGAATGTTGTGATTTTTGCACGTTGATTAATAAGGTAACTTTTTAATGAAGAAAACAATTAGTAATACATTAATGCATGTAAGGTAAGCAAAATAGATTAAACATTTAATTTAAAGCAAAGATAATGACTTTAAAAATAATTTTACTATTGACATTCACATTAGTGTTTTCACAAACATAGATAATCGTTTCCATTGTCCTTAAATATATTTTTTAATACTTTCTAATAAACCACTCTAATATTGTGGAAATATATATTGAGAGATATACATATTGACATTAGATCATTCTACGTAGGTTTGTTGCTTTTAAATAAATATTCAAGCTTTGTGAAAAGCACATGTAGGCACCACATACTTGAATTATTAAGGCTAAAACTTAAGAATTTGGTGCTGTGAGTACGAATAATAAAAACGTCATTCATTTATCTCTTTTCTCAATTATAAGCTTTTAAACAATAGCTCATGGAATTAGAGAAAACTTCTTTGTTTACTTCTGCTGATATTTATAACTATTTCATTAATAGCTTATAAAACAGAGCAATTACATTCTCTGATGGAAAAAAAAACCAAGCATATTAATAGTTTGTGAATAAACTTTTCAATTTTGAAAATAAAATGAGCAGCATTTACATTTGAAATCCATACAAATGATGCTGTTTACTTTTTATGTCAATAGTGTCAAATAGATTATAATACATAAAACTATTAGTGGAGTTCACGTTTGGATTTTCTCGTTGTTCATTTTTTGGTACCCTTCTTTAGATAAATTTTAGCAACGGTTTTGAATTGGCTTTAAATGGAAACATAATTGTTTACAAAAAAAATGGAAGATTTGACTACTAGTAAACATGATGTTCATGTTAATGTTATTAACACACCTTCCAATATAATCACCTAAAAAATGAAAAAACTGTGATTCCTAATTCACATTCTGAGAACTAGTGTCATGTAAAAATACTTTAACATAAGAAATATGCAAGTTTATGGGAGTCAGAAAAATGTATATATTATTAATAATTATATAAACATTATATAGATATTATACTATGACATACAAATTTGGCTATATATTATTTACACGGACAGCATACAAGACACAAATATTTTATCACTTTATTTTAAAATTTACATAAATATATGAGCTTAGGTTTAAAAAAATCTGTATTTTCCAAGTATTAATTAATTAATGCATGTACTATCTTATTTCTTTCTCATGCTATGAAGTAGAAACTAACTATTTCTAGTTTACAGAGGACTAAATTGAGAAGTGGACCATGTTCTTACAACAACAACCGAAAGTAAATTCCCATTTTAAACCTAGCCAACCTGATCCCCAAACCCGTTATATGTATAGCAACATATATAAATAAGTAATATATAGAGACATTGTGAACAAAAAAAAACTAGAGATATAATATATAACCTAGATCAAATATTTTATTTTATAAATGAAATGCTGATTGGAAGAACAATAAGTTACTCAGGTGGTTAGCAGCAGTGATAGATTTAGAAACCACTTTTCCTTATTACTGGACCAGGGACAGACTTTCTAAATAATGATTATTACTTTACTATCACTTTTGGGAAAAGCTTCAACTTAAGACAAGTTTGGTCTGTTGGAATGCCAAAAAGCTCTTTGGATAATCTGAATGTGCAGTGGAGGTTGAGAGCCCTTGCTTGGGGATCTTTACTTTTATAATCCTCCTTAAGTTTCTCCTCTTTCATTAAAAACACCAAAAATCTCTCTCCGACATTGGGCTTCCGTGCTCTTTTAAGTTAAACTTATAATTTTTTGCCACTTACTGATGTTGATTAAGGTCAGCATGCTTTTGTTGAAGATAAACCATTTCCACTTGGTATGTGGCTTCCCTTTGGGCACGTTATAGTACTGGAAGTTTCCCTGTTTCCTTGGCTTGGGCTCCCTGCCCAGGCAGGTGCTATGTGCTGAAATCATGGTCAGAACCCTCTTCCTTGTTCTTCACAAAGGCAAAATCTTTTTTTTTTTTTTTTTTTTTTTGAGAAAGAGTCTCACTCTGTAGCCCAGGCTGGAGTGCAGTGGCACGATCTCTGTTCACTGCAACCTCCACCTCCCAGGTTCAAGCAATTCTCTGCCTCAGCCTCCTGAGTAGCTGGGATTATAGGTGCCCACCACCACGCCAAGCTAATTTTCATACTTTTAGTACAGACGTGGTTTCACCGTCTTGGCAAGGCTGGTCTTGAACTCCTGAACTTGTGATCCACCAGCCTTGGCCTCTCAAAGTGCTGGGATTACAGGTGTGAGCCACTGCACCCGGCCAAAGGCAAAATGTTTAATAACAAATTGAAAACGTTCAGAGGCAAAACGGATTCCAAAAGACATCTTTTTTTTTTTATCCCTCTAAATCAACTCCAGACAAAGGGTTTTACCCTCCTTCCATTTCCTTCATTTCCACTCTCCCACTCTTCACCCTCATATTGATCTGTTCAGAATCATCAGTGTCCACAGCTTGTTCAATGGCCTTTAGCACAACCAGCATATCCTGCTTTCTCCACCTTGCCCTCCTTCTTCCTTCACATGTGCCATATCGTTTGGCCTTCAAGACTTAATATGGTCACTTAATTGTCATCAGTCACCATAATTGTGTTAAACTTGAAGATCTCTCCAACAGGGGTTAGAGATAATACATGTTAATAGTTGTCACAGAAACAGTGGCTGCAGTGATAGAGCCAAGGCAAAGTCAGCCAAGGAGGTGGCCAGCCAGGCTCTGGAAGGTTTGGGTGAAAGTAACCTTTTAAGGATATAAAAAGTGATTAGGCTTGGATCTACATTACTGTAATTACTTTAGGGGTACGTTAATCTTTATAGAAAACTGGAAAGTGTGCACTAGCTTATCAAGTCTTTTACTACCAAGCTAGACTGTTACATAGATCCAAGCACTCCCTTTGACTCTCACTTGGAAAATTTATCAAATTGGAAGAAAGAGTCAGTAGGGACAGATTAGAGACAGACATATTGTGGCTTAATGTATCTCTATAACGTACATGTCCCTGAATTAAGACAAACATAAATTATTTAACTAATCATCCATTTTAAGGGCTCAAAAAACTTGCCAGGTAAATTATAATTTTGCTTCACCACGGTTTTAAGTATTTACATTATGAATATACACCTCCACTTTAACATTTTAATGAATTTACCAGAATATGCCTGTTGCATCATCTGGTGGAAAAGGGCTATATAAGGATTGGGAAGCACCTTATTAAAATTCTTTCATTCTAAGAATGATTTCATATGTGCAACAAGATACTGAAAACTGTTGCAACTCTTTTGCATATAGCAGTTGTTAGGGACTAAAAGAGTCCTGTTAAAGGGTTCTACACATTTTAGTAATTATTTGTAATAAACGTAAGTATCAGCATGCAGTCATCACACACAGTAGACTGCTGTGTTTAAAAAAAAGCTAATAGGCTTTGTTTCTACCCAGCTATATGAAAGAGAGAGAAAAACTAAATTTTATTTAGTATCAATTTTCTATTGCTGTGCACAAATTTTCTGGCTTAAAACAACACCCCCTTTTTATTTCACATTGTTCAGAAGTCTGGGTGGGAACCACTAAGTTCTATATTTAGGGTCACACAAACTGGACAATTTAGGGGAAGAATCCACTTCCATGCTCATTCAGGTTGTCAGCCAAATTTTTTGTGTGTGTGGTTTTAGGATTGAGATCTCCATTTCCTTGATGGCTGGAAGCTGGGAACCACTCTCACCTTCTAGAGGCCATCGGCATTCCTTGTTCTGCAGTAGTTCCTGTCTATCTCTAAGACACTGAATGTGCATCAAACCCCTCCCATATTTTGAATTTCTGACTTTGTCTTTTGCTACCAGCTAGGGCAACTTTTCTGCTTGTAAAAGGAATTAGGTAAGGCCCACCTGGATAATTTTACTATTTAAAGTTCTACTGACTTGGGTCTTTAATAACATCTGCAAAATCCCTTTATGGCAACACCTAGTTTCATGTTCGTTTCAATTAATACTTCAAGAATCTTTAGAATCTGACTACCATGAACATTTATTACTTGGAAGGCTATTAAATAAATACCTCAACTCTTAAAAATAAAGCCTTTGTCGAAGTAAATAGCATTACTCTCTTTAATAAATGAGAAAATTGAGATTGACCAAGAATTTTTTGTTAGTCCATTTAGCTGCCTCTGAATGTAATCCCAGGTATGTTTGGTTGTACAACTCCCGCATCCTGAGGCTTCCAGCCAAATCAAACCACCAATACTGGCAAATAAGCACGTAAGCATTTGAGAGGAAGCAAAACTGAAAGAGTTTTACCAATGTACATAGAACATCTATATTAAAAAGGACTAATTCCTGTAAGTACTTTTTTGTCATAATAGAGAAGTGCAGAAACTCAAAAGCCTAAGGGCAATTTTTTTGCTTAGCTCTTTCCATTGTCTGCCAGTTTGTAAGCTGATAGCTCCTGCTCAAATGCTTAATCCTTGTTTCTAAATCTTTCACTTTCTTTCTTAATTGTGGTTCCCCTCCATGGGTTTTGTGTTATACGGGGCTAGTTTCAATTTACTGGTTTGTGGCATTTTCAAATTTCAAGCACCCAGTCAGTTTTGAAGGATTATAAATTTAAGCTTCTTAATGTGTTTCTTGAAAAAGCTTTTCTTGGTGGGAAGCTGGAGAACCTACTTCAAATTGTATTTTAAGTACATGACCTTTAGTTTCTTTTAATATATATCAACGGGTTTTGATTTTTTAATCTAAATTTTTAATACATGTCCTTTAAAATGATTTTTAAGTATTTTAGATAAAGAAAATAATCAGTCAAAATGTTGATATTTGATCCTCCCTTCTTACTTGTAACACATTTCAATTGGAAAATCGTACAAGTATATAAATCCACAGACAGGAGGGAGGGAGAAAGAATTACTAACCCTAGTTATATTTCTCTTTGTTAATAGATTATGTTGACTAATTTGGTGAAGGTTTGATCTTGTCTCATATGTTATGGATTGTTCTTTTTAATTTATTTTAAGTGTATCTCTGTATCTATTTTTTTAGTTGTCATGTCTCTTTCTTGAGGTATATAAAAAGTACTTGCCATAACATTCATCCTCATAACTGCAATTCTGTGACTACATGGATGTACATTGTTGTGCAATGATCATCACAATATAGTTTTTAAATATCTCTACTACCTTAAAATACTCTGATATTTGTGTTTTCAGTCAAGCCCAGCTCTCACATTTCATACCAACTATTGATCTAATATATATTATTGATTTATCTCTCTATATATATTTATATATAATATGAATCATACAAACACATATATACATATATTTTTTGTCTTTTCTAGAAATTCATTTAAGTAGAATAATGTAATACATAATTTTTCTGTTTGGGTTTTTCACCTAGCATGTTTTTGAGATCTATCCATGTTATTAGAGGCATTAGTAGTTTGTCTCTTTTTATTGCTGAGGAGTATACAATTGTATTGATAGACTACAATTTATTTGTTTATTTACCAGTTGATGGCTATTTAGATGTTTTCAACTTCTGGCTATTATAAATAATGCTCCTAGGAACACTTAGCACAAGTCTTTGTGTGGATATAGGTTTTAATGTTGCTTGGCTGGGTAGTTAGGGGTAGAATAATGGGTCATGTACAAGGAAATGTTTAACTGCTTAAGAAATTACCAAACTTTTCCAAAGGTGCTTTACCATTTTTACCTTCCCACCAGCAATGTATAAGGGTTCCGGTTCCTTCACATATTCAGCAACACTTGGTATTAACAGTGTTTTTTATTATAGCCATTCTTTGCCTACCATAGTGCTATTTTATTTTGGTTTTAATTTGAATTTTGCTAATTACTAATGATGTTGAAAATCTTCTTGTGTGTTTATTAGACATTAGTATATTTTCTTTGGCAAAATGACTATACAAATTTTTGCCATATTCTTATTTGGTCTTTCTTATTATTATCCATGTGGGACCAATCTAATCACAGGGGTCCTCATCAGAGGGAGGGAGAGTGTCAGAGTCAGAGAAGGGAGATTTGATGAAGGAAGCAGAGGTCTGAGTGATTCCATTGCTGGAAGGCGACAAGTGCCAAGGAATGTGGGCTACCTCTAAAAGCGATTTTTTTCCATACTGTTGTTCCCCAAACAGTAGCTACAGACCACTTGAATCAAAATCACCTGTAATTCTTTAAAATAAATTTTGATCACACCCATAAACTTCATCAGTGGGTTTGGGGTAATGACTGGGAATTGTATTTTCAAAGCACCCCATGTAACTGTCACGCACACTTAAGTTTGAAACACACTCTTTTACAGAAAGCCCAGTCTTAAAACTCCACATCCAACATAGAACTTAACTTCTAGTCTTATCAGTACCATTAATGGTGGTCAGAGAAGCCAGGCATCCAGAATCATTCTTGGCTTTTCTCTCTCAGATCTTGGTAATTTTCTGCCTTAGAAATATATATTTTTAAAGTTAATCTAACTTCTTCATGTCTGATGTCAGCCCTGAGCTCAGGCTATCATTGGGGTTTCAAATCAGCCTACTTCTATTCAGTCCATCTCTGGCACTGCTGCCACACATTTTAAAGAACATATATGGTAGATAACTTTTGGTAGAATTAACAGGCTTTCTCCCAAGTTCGCTCTCCCTTTCACCCTGTAATCTACCTTCATTTGAGCTAATAGGCATGAATCTCCAATGACTTAAAAAATGTTCTGAAATGTGAATCCTGTATCTGAATTACTGCTATTATCTAGAAATTTAGCACATCCCCAGGCCCCACCTACCTTTGCCAAATAAGAAACTGTGGAGTGGGACTCAGAATCCCATGCTTTCCTAAGACCTGCTAAATGACTGCAGCTTGCTCCAATTTGAGCATCATTGCTATGCAGAAAACCTGTCATGACCAAACCACAAGAGAAACGCATTGAATTTTGGGATTTTAGTTATTTAAATATAATTTCCAACTGCTGAGTACCTATTACCTCAAACAAAAGGTAATTTTCCTCTTCCATTCTGGCTGTCTAGTTTGACTTCTCTTCCTCTTTCTCATCAGCAATATAGATTGTTGAGCATTTTAAGGGAAAGAACAATTTGAATTACCTCTCCTCCACACTAGCCGGTTTCTGCTGGTTAGAATGTGGTCCCGCAGCATCATAGTTCATCGTGTTATGAAATACTGCTCCCAATCAGAGGAGGAGATATGATTTTGTTTGGCATCCCAAGCCTTGTTATGTGTTGAATAGTTTTTCCTTTAGGCATTGAACATAAGTTTTCTAACCAAGAATCTCAGTGATGGCTTTTTAAATGGAATTGTCAGAAATGTGAAAGCATCTTATTTACCCTGATCAGAAATTGAGTCCATAAGTAGGAAAAAATGACAGGAGAGGTAGTTTAATGTAATGTCTATTCAAAACTATGATTCTTAAATTTCGTTTATCAGTGTAATAGATAAGCAGGTTATAATGGTATACAAGGCTGAATCAATTAGGGTTAAGTTTGCCTTTGAGTGATAAAATGACCATGGTTTAAACAATGTAGATGTTTCACTGTCATATACAGCAATCTGGAAGTAGATAAGCTAAGGAGGTAGGTAGTAGCATCTTATTTTAATCACTCAGTTTTACATATAGTTTCCGCTTGGATTCCCACAAAAGGATTTTTGAGCCTCAACCATTAAGTCCGTATTCCAATTAGCAGCAAGAGAAAGCAATCAACCGAGCAGTTGTTCTTCTCTTTGAGGATAAGTTTTACTCACCATATCAACTAAGATTTCCTTGACCAGAACTTAACCACATGGTCATGCATAACTGCAGAAGCATTTGCTAAATCTGAGCTCTCCCTTCCCAATGGGCAGCCATTTATCCACCAGAATAATTAAGGATTATATAAGGAAGAAGGAAAACATGAATATCAGCTCATAACTATATGTCTCTACAGCAAATGTGGTCTCTAAAATCTTTACTATTTATACTTTCTTTTTTATCACCATTTGATTTATTTAAATTGAAAAAATGATTAGTTTGCAATATGCAAAGACATCAAAATATTGGCCAGGCACTTTTATCATTTCCTTATTTTATTATTCAACTTTCAATTCAGGACAGCATCCTTATATTTCTTATTTTTAATGTGTAACACAGATGTGGTTATTAAACTCCAACAAGAGTAAATTGGTTTCCATTTCAACCTACATTGCTAACTCAGTCAGATAAAATGTTTCTTAAATACCAATTATGTGCTGAATGCAGTAGTTACTTTCCAGTGGTTCTAGTAAGTTATCTTCATAAAAATCAAGAAGGTTTTCATTCTTTGAATTAGAATTACTTCTTCAGTATGTGTGCTCAATAACTCCTAAGGCAATCATCTTCAAAGTCTTTTCTCTGCTGGATGGTTGTCTGAACAGCATTTCATAGAGCCTGTGCTCATTCATTCTACACGGACCTAACGAAGTTTTTTCTGCAATTACCAGGCAGATAGCCTGAAGTCAGGCAGTGATTTTCTATTTTAAACCTACTGGAATTTAAATTTTCATTTAACAACTCGTCACATAGCTGCAACCTAATCTGAAACAAGCTATGCTATAACCAAAAGAGGGAAAATAAATCATCTTCTAAAGTATTTGGCAGAACAAAGCTTATATTTTTAATATCATAGAAATGATCACAATATATCACTAAATGAAACAATTGCAATACAATTTATCTTGATTTTCTAGGTCTTTGTTAGAATAATTTTTTTTTTTTTTTTTTTTTTTTAGTAGAGGTGGGGTTTCACCATGTTAGCCAGGATGGTCTTGATATCCTGACCTCGTGATCCGCCTACCTCAGCCTCCCAAAGTGCTGGGATTGCAGGCATGAGCCACCACGCCCGGCCTGTTAGAATAATTTTTAATCTTCAACCAAGTTCTTTATAAAGTCACTTGCAGTACATCATTATTAATAAAATGGTCGTGAATCAAATGCTATTTTTATGACGTTCTCAGTAGACAACTATAAAAGTAAATTTATATATTACATTTAAAATTATGCATGCAATTTTAATACAAAAGGTATGTATTTCCTTAACTTAAAAATATTTACCTAAATAAAAACATAGTTCTATTTATTATAAGGTTAATATAAATTCAAAAATAAGTCTTATGTACATCCTATATAGTAAGTGACTTAAAAAATAGTTACTGAACAAAAAGCAAATTAATGAATAGTATATTAAAGTCCATAATTTTAAGACATTTTCTAAAATGCTAACTGCTTATAAGCCTTAGGTCACACACATTTTTTGTCTGCCCACTATAATCATTAATTCATTATTAATTATACTTAATTATGATCAATACTAATTTTACTTCTATAATTTGTTCTGCATATACAATGTGCATTTATCAACTCTTTTGTAAATATAAATATTTCTTAGTTGTTTTCAAATAATCTACATTTTCAAAAACAGAGAAAAATGAGTATGTGACAGAAACGCATTTTATCCTGCCCATTCTGCCCAACTTTTTGCTTTCTAGAATGTAAACAATATTGAATAGAGTGGTCTGAAAGTACTAAGTTTAACAATATCTGTGATACCTTGTCATAATCCTGGAAGTTACAGAAAAGTCTGTGCTTTGGAAAATGGTAAACATTGTCACAATGGAGTGTTTAGACATCACTGGACTGATGAGATAGGTAATTTACAAGTAAATTGCCTCTGCCAGACTTTAGTCCATTATTGTCTAGACAAGACAGGGAATAAAATGGAGTCAAGCTCTCCATACGTGTTCTAAATGAAAATAGCAGCAGAACCCAGAGGGTCTAGTAAGTAGCTTTTGTGTATCTATGGCAGGAGATGTAGGTGTCTCTTTTCCTTTTCTCTATTACTTTCATACAATTGTTCCTACCTTCCCCGAACCTCGTCTCCTTAACCTTATTCTCCACTCTACCTCAGCCACTCACTCATACCATCTAGACTCAGCCATTACCAGCCACAGCAATGACAACACAATCTCAATTTTAAGTATCTCCCTTTCTTACTCTAACTGCTTCTATGGAAAGTCACATAATGTGTATTAGTAGAAAGTAGAAAGAATAGCAAATCTTGAAACAAAGCAAATCTTAATCTAAGGATGAATACCAAGATGTTCTCATACATCCCACCTTAAGTAAAATAATGTCTGGATCATGCAATGTCCTCATCAACAATCTTACTTTACATTTGGTGAAAGATTCGCAGGGAAGTTTCTAATAAAACCAACTCATTAAAGATAAGATCATATGCTAAAATGCATTGTCACCTATTTGTTCTATATAATTTAAGGATAGAGTTTAGAGTACCTGGTGAATAGAATGTGAAAATTTCTTCAGCAATTTTTTATTTCTTATTAGAATATGTAGTTAAATAGTCCATTATAAGCGCACACAAGTCATTAGATTCCAACCAACAATTTTAGCATTATAGGTGCTCTCCATCCTTTATAAATATGCCACATATTCTAAAGTCAACCAGTAAGTCATGCTTTATCTTCAGTTTTATTGAGATACATTCTACATACCATAAAATGTTTACTTATTGTAAGTGCACAATTCAATTAAGTTATAGGCAGTAGTGTATTTCATTATGCATTATTAAGCTTTTTGACAATGCCTGGACATATATAGTTATTAATAGAAAGAGTAGAACAATAATTTAACTGAAGATGTTAAATTTTCTTTCTCTTGTCTGAACTAAATACTGCAGTCATTCTGATGCATTGTATAACTTGGCACAGTATTCTTATTATTTAAGGGAACTTAAGGAGAATTCCAAATTGTTTTCTCTATTGGTTGTATATGCAAGAGTTTATGATTTTTACTCTCTGGTTGGAGGGCTGTTATGCTGTTATTGTGTATTGCTTTTAGAGTGCAGAACTATCTGTTTTAAACATCAAGAAAAAACAGATGGTATGGTTAGAATTTTATTATGAAAGGAATAAAGGAAACTTGCTTGGATGAAAATTATCCCAAGGGAGAAAGATGACAGGGCAGAGTTAAGACAAGCCTCTGATAGGCTGGGCGTGGTGGCTCACACCTGTAATCCCAGCACTTTGGGAGGCTGAGGCGGCTGGATCACGAGGTCAGGAGATCGAGACCATCCTGGCTAACACGGTGAAACTCCGTCTCAACTAAAAATACAAAACAATTAGCTGGGCGTGGTGGCGGGTGCCTGTAGTCCCAGCTACTCGGGAGGCTGAGGCAGGAGAATGGCATGAACCCGGGAGGCGGAGCTTGTAGTGAGCTAAGATCGCGCTACTGCACTCCAGCCTGGGCCACAGAGCGAGACTCCATCTCAAAAAAAAAAAAAAAAAAAAAAGAATCCTCTGATAATTTCCTTCACTAAGAATTTATGTAAATAACCATTTCAAAATGAAATTTAGGCCGCATATTGTGAAGGAGGTTCACTGTTCTCTGGTTAGAGTCTGGTGGAGACAGGACACACTTACGCAAGACAGGTCTGAGTTTGAAAAGACAGTACGTGCTCGTAAGCAACAAGTTACATTAAGTGGATGTAGTATTTACAGATGGGCAGCAAGGGACAACAGAAGCCTAGGATTTATTTTGAGCTGGTCTTCTGAAGCTCAGAAAACCACTCAGAGCAGACAGAGTCTCAGTCGTGTGTACCCCACTTGCACCACAGATAAGAAACTTTGAAAGGCAGTCTGCCCCGGTTATATACCTCATGGTTACATGACGCACTGGGCTAAAGCATTGATAGACATTTTGTTTCTTGGAAGGACTCGAACAGTCTGCTGTGTTCTGGCCATCTCCCCCTCATATCAGGATGTGATATTTCCAAAATAGTCTACACTTATTCTTGAGAACTGCAAATGATAACTGGGTTGGTTCAAGGCCACGCAGAGAATGGGCCTGCACACAGTGTGGTAAAATATCACACAGACATACCTGATTTTATTGCCCTTTGTGTTATTGTGCTTTGCAGATATCACATTCTTTTGACAAATTTAAGATTTATGGCAACCTTGCATCTAGTAAGTTTACTGGCACCATTTTTCCAACAGCATGTGCTCACTTAGTGTCTCATCCCATTTGGTAATTCTCACATTTCAAAGTTTTTCATTATTGTTATGTCTGTTATGGTAACAAGTGATCAGAGATCTTTGATGTTACTACTGTAATTGTTTTGGGGCACCATGAACTGTGCCCATATAAGATGCAGAATTTAATAAATTCTATGTGTGTTCTGACTGCTTCACTGGCCAACTGTTCTCCCATCTCTTTCCTTCTCCTCAGGCCTCCCTATTCCCTGAGACACAATACTGAAGTTAGGTCAGTTAATAAACCTACAATGGCCTCTAATTGATCAATGGAATGAAAAAGTCATATGTCTCTCACTTTAAATCAAAAGCTAGAAATGATTAAGCTTAGTGAGGAAGGTACGCCTAAAGCCAAGATAGGCTGAAAGGCCTCTTGTGTCAGAGAGTTACCCAACTTGTGAATGCAAAAGAAAAGTTCTTTAAAAACATTGAAAGTGATTCTCCAGTGGACACATGAATGATAAAAAGTGAAACAGTCTCATTGCTGATATGAATAAAGTTGGAATGTTCTGGATTGAAGATCAAACCAGACACAACATTCCCTTTAAGCCAAGACCTATTCCAGAGTAAGGCCCTAACTCTCTTCCATTCTCTGAAGGCTAAGAGTGAAGAGGAAGCTGCAGAAGCAAAATTTGAAGCTAACAGAAGTTCATTTGTGACGTTTAAGGAAAGAAGCCATCTCCAAAACATAAAAATGCAAGGTGAAGCAATGAGTACTGATATAGAAGCTGTGGCAAGTTACATAGAAGATCTGGCTAAGATCACTGATGAAGGCGGCAACATTAACAACAGATTTTTCAATGTAGACAAAACAGCCTTCTATTCCAAGAAGATGTCTTCTACAAGTTTCAGAGCCACAGAGGAGAAACCAATACCTGGCTTCAAAGTTCGAAGGACAAGCTGACTCTTTTATTAGGGGATAACACAGCTGGTGACTTTATGTTGAAGCCAACGCTCATTGACCATTCTGAAAATCTTAAGGACCTTCAGAATTATGCTAAATCTACTCTACCTATGCTCTATAAATGAAATAACAAAACCTGAGTGACAGCAGATCTGTATACAGCATGGTTTACCAAATATTTTAAGCCTAATGTTGAGACGGATGCTAATATATAAATACATATATTAATATATGTATATAAATATATAAATACATATATTAATATATGTATTTATATATATAAATACATATATTAATATATATATTTATAAATATATGAATATATATTTATATAGTTATAAATATATATAAATATATATATTTATCAATATATAAATATATATATTTATCAATATATAAATATATATATTTATCAATATATAAATATATATATTTATCAATATATAAATATATATATTTATCAATATATAAATATATATATTTATCAATATATAAATATATATATTTATCAATATATAAATATATATATTTATCAATATATAAATATATATATTTATCAATATATAAATATATATATTTATCAATATATAAATATATATATTTATCAATATATAAATATATATATAAATATATATATTTATCAATATATAAATATATATATTTATCAATATATAAATATATATATTTATCAATATATAAATATATATATTTATCAATATATAAATATATATATAAATATATATATTTATCAATATATAAATATATATATAAATATATATATTTATCAATATATAAATATATATATAAATATATATATTTATCAATATATAAATATATATATAAATATATATATTTATCAATATATAAATATATATAAATATATATATTTATCAATATATAAATATATATATAAATATATATATTTATCAATATATAAATATATATATAAATATATATATTTATCAATATATAAATATATATATAAATATATACATTTATCAATATATAAATATATATATAAATATATACATTTATCAATATGTAAATATATATATAAATATATACATTTATCAATATGTAAATATATATATAAATATATACATTTATCAATATGTAAATATATATATAAATATATACATTTATCAATATGTAAATATATATATAAATATATACATTTATCAATATATAAATATATACATTTATCAATATATAAATATATACATTTATCAATATATAAATATATACATTTATCAATATATAAATATATACATTTATCAATATATAAATATATACATTTATCAATATATAAATATATATATTTATATATATAAATATATATATAAATATATATATAAACATATATGTTTATAAATATATAAATATATAAAATTTACTGCTCATTGACAATGAGGAGAGTAATAGTTTGAAAACTAATAGTTTGAAAGAATATATATATTACATATTAATCTATATATATATACATTTACATATATTATATATTAATCTATATATATAGATTTATATATATATCTCCTTGCACTTTTCATCAAAGCTCTTAATGAATGAGCAGTAATAGTTTGAAAGAATATATATGTAAGAATATATATAAGAATATATGTAAGTATATATATAAGAATATATTCTTATATATCCATATTGATAATAGATCTAGTCACTCAAGAGCTTTGATGAAAAGTGCAAGGAGATTAATGTTCTTGTGGCTGCTAACACAACATCCATTCTGCAGCCTACAGATCAAAGAGTAATTTTAACTTTCAAGTCTTATTATTTAAGTAATAAATAATAAGGCTGTAGATTCCATGGATAATGATTCCTCTGATGTATCCTGGCAAAGAAAACTGAAAACCTTCTGGAAATGATTCATCATTCTAGATGCCATTCAGGACATTTGTGATTCACAGGAGGAGGTCAAAATATCAACCTTAACAGGAGTTTGGAAGAAGTTGATTCTATCTCTCACGGATTTTAGGAATTTAAGCCTCCAGTGGAGAAAGTAATTGCAGACATGCTGGAAATAGCTGAAGCACTAGAATTAGAAGGGAAAGCTAAAGATGTATTTGAATTCCTGCAATCTTACGATAAAATTTGAATGGAAGAAAAGTTGCTTCTTATGGGTGGGCAAAGAAAGTGCTTTTCTGAGATGAAATACACTCCTGGTAAAGATATTGTGAACATTGTTGAAATGTCAACAAAGGCTTTGAATATTACATAAACATATTTGATGAAGAAACACTGGGTTTTAGAGGATTGACTTCAATTTTGAAAGAAGTTGTACTGTGGGTAAAATGCTGTCAAGTGGCATCTCATGCTATATGGAAACATTTCATGAAATTAAGAGTCAATCTATGTGGAAAACTTCATTGTTATCTTATTTTTAAAAATTCCATGGCTACCGTAGCCTCTAGCAACCAACACTGTGATCAGTCAGTAGCCATCAACATCAAGGCAAAACCCTCCACCAGCAAAAAGATTACAATTCACTGAAGGCTTAGATGATCATTATCATTTTTTACCAATAAAGTGCTTTTTAATTATAGTATGTATTTTTTGATATAATGCTATTGAGCATTTGATAGGCTATATTATAGTATAAACCTAATTTCATATACACTGGGAAAAAATTATGTGACTCGCTTTATTGTAAAATAATCTTTATTGCAGTGCTCTGGAATTAAACCCACAATATCTCTGAGGTAAGTCTGGATTAGATATATGTATGTTCTTCATGTATGTGTCTGTCTTCTAAGAAAGGATGAATAAATAAACTCTTCCTGTATCCATGCTAATTGAGGATGTGTAAAGGGTAGCATTTTGTTTATTCACTCTCTCTGAAACTTAGGAATTGATATATACATATTCATAATGTTATATATTAAAAATTAATCTGAAGGTTCATATTTCTCTCTTTGAAACTCACTCTGGAATTCAACATTGCATTTTTCCAAGTTCCACAAAATTGTGACTTAGTGAAAATAACAGTGAGAAAAGAATCTAAAAATACAGAATGATATATGTCTTCAAAATTTTTAATCTTTGTAGTAATATGGCCATTTTTTATAAGAATAATGTCAGCAGTATTCATAAAGTTATAAAACATAACATTTTTCAAATTAAATAACTTACTTCATAGTGTCATTTATAATTTTTATACTAATACATCATATGGATTATTGCATTTCACTATTTTTGTACTATAACAAGTTAATTTATTTAATAAATATAGTAATGTTATAGACAAAGCTTTTTATATAATTAGCTCCAGTGAGATATATTTGTCTTCTCTAAGGATACTTATTTGAATTATATTTTATAAAGCTTGAATTAGATTTTTTACCTTGATTTATAGTTAACTATGGTTGCTGCATTTATATACCATATAAAATAATAACTCATAATTACCATTGAACATATATTTATATACATACTTCTCTGTGTTTTGTTACCACTTGAATACGGATGGTAATAGATAGATTTTGTATAGTTCACTATTCTTTTTTCATTTATCTAACTTCTATTCAGCATCCTTAATAACTATATCTATAATTTTAAAATAACAAAAACCAGTATAAAATTATTTTCATTAATAGTTCTAGAAAGATCTTCAAAATTACAGTAAATTACATTAAATATTAATTTCTAAAACATTTTAAGATTTGAAGTATTACATACTGTCTTTGTGATTCCATGACCATCTACCAGCTTGATGATTGCTGCAAGTACTAACATGACTTAACACAAGGTGATGCTCACAGATAAAATCAAAGTTTACAATATAGGATCTGTAGGAAATCTATTTACATAGACAAAAGACAGAGCAGCTGATGCAGATTTCTTGTCCCAAGTCTGTGATAATTGCAAGAAAGTATCTTCCCCTCTAGCTTCCAACTGCAGGGACAAGTGTGAGAGGATTCTGCCTAGAAAAAGCCCTCTTGAGTTTTGGAATCCAAAGTTTGTAAAATGCACTCAGAAGTATTTAAATATCACATAAATGACATGCATTTTTATATCATTTACATTATATTGGGAAGCAATTGAGAGCAGTGAGCATAAACGTGATTTTTACATTAATCAGCAAATGAATATAATTTTATGAAAATGTTAAATAACTCAAATAATAGTTTAAACACCTCCAAAACAAAGTGAATAATCTTGGGCTCTGATTTGAACTCTTGAGCTAGATATGAGTACTTATATATGTTTTGTTCCACTTATTTCCTTCTCTTTAGTGAACCAGTTCATTGAATACGTCTTATTTTATTTCATGACAGCTTTTAGTTTCTTTTAAAAACCCAGTATTCTTTTATGTCTAAGCCATTGCTGTCCAATAGATCTTCTTTAAAGAATGAAAATGTCTTTGCATTTCCCAGTACTCCTAGGGATACGTGAATATTGAACACTTGAAATGTGGTTGGCTTGATGCGAGAAAACTGAATTTTTAAATTATATTTATTTTTCTTATCAATTTTAATTCAAATAGCGTACTGCATCTTGTGGCGACCACATGGACATCACAGTATCATCACAGTATCAATGTAGCAAGTATAGATATTTCTGTGAGAGCCGCTTTATTTAGGAATCTGTGAAAAAATGCTCTCTGTGCCCAGCCATATACCCTTGGCATTATATTGCTCCAGTACTTTCAGAATGATCTTGGCTCACGCATAGGCCGGTTCAGGGAAGTTAATTTCCACAGGGAGCATCCCTCAATAATGACAAAAGTGGACTTATGAAAAAAAGACTCCATCATTCTCACTTCGTAGTGGGAAAATTCTGAGGCCAATTCTATACTTGGTCCCAAAGGTCTGCAGTGGGATTGCACTCCAGTTGCCCACTATGATAACTTACTTATTAACACTTCTGGACTTTCTTCCTTTTCTTAATTCAACTTTTCACTACTCTACCAGGTGTTCCTGGAATCACTATAACTTTGAGTTACTTTTTAAAATCCACCATTTTTTTATGTCTAAGGCACTGCTGTCCAATAGAACTTCCTTCAATAACAGAAGTGTCTTTGCATTATCCAGTACTCCTGGGCATAGATGGGTATTGAGCAAAATAAATATTTATTGAAATAGCCCATATAAATCCCTGTCTTTTGGCTAGCTTTCTGATTTACTACAGACTGACTTATCTGACTCTCCTTTGTGTTTCTTTGTACCCATAATATTTCTTCCTTATGCCTCACTCATGGATTTGTGAGCAGTGTCAGTATTTTCTTTACCATTGCGTACTCATAGCTTGGTATACTGCCCAAAAATTGTATCAATGAATAAATATTTGATGAATAATTGGATGAGTCAATGAATAAATGTATTCATGAATGATCAATAAAAAATAAGGCATAAAGTCCTCTGCAGAAAACATGATGGTGTTTGTTCAATTTCCAGCTGCATCTAGGTTGATGGCAGCTTTGTCTAGCTCTTACTCTTGTCTATGAATTTTATTTTTATCTTCTTTTTATATCATTGGTCTTGATGTTTGTATTTTGTTTCCCAGTTTTTTTACTGTGTTCTCACTCGAGGGCTTATGTGCATATTTGCTTTGCCAAATTATCCTGCTCAGTTTTGCTAGGATGTTTTCCTCAAATTTTATCCTCAGAAACTACCCTCTGTGTGTTGCCTACTGAGTGATTCTTCATCGAAGACTTCCTATTCTTCTGGATATTGGGAACCTATAGGTGCCATGTATTCAGTTACTTTTCTTTACACCCCACCCATTTATCAGTATAAAATTCTTAGCCAGTTGTATTAGTTCATTTTCACACTGCTAATAAGAACTGCCCAAGACTGTGTAATTTATAAAGAAGAGAGATTTAATTGACTCACAGTTCAGCATGGCTATGGAGGGCTCAGGAAACTTACAATCATGACACAAGGTGAAGGGGAAGCAAGGCACCTTGTTCACAAGGTGGCAGGAAGAAGAAGAAGTGCTGAGGGAAGGGGGAAGAGTCTCATCTCTCTCATCTGAGACAAGGCATGCCCATTCCACCTAGGAGCCTGTAAAATCAAAAGCAAGTTAGTTACTTCCTAGATACAATGGGGGTGCAAGCATTGGGAAAATACACCATTCAAAAATGGAAGAAATTAGCCAAAACAAAGGGGGTACAGATCTCATGGAAGCCTGAAATCCAGTAGGGTAGTCAAATCTTAAAGTTCCAAAATGGTCTCATTTGACTCTTTGTCTCACATCCAGGTTATGCTGATGCAAGAGGTGGGCTCTCATGACCTTGGACAGCCCTCCCTCTGTGACTTGGTAGGATACAGACTTCTTCCGGCTGTTTTCATGAGCTGGTGTTGAGTGTCTGCAACTTTCCCAGGTGCAGTGCACAGTGCAAGCTGTTAGTGGGTCTACCATCCTGGGGTCTGGAGGATGGTGGCAGTCTTCTCACAGCTCCACTAGCCAGTGTCCCATTGGGGACTCTATGTGGTCACATTTTCTTTACCCACTGCTTTAGCAGATGTTCTCCATGAGGACTCCACCCCTGCAGCAAACTTCTCTCTAGACATCCAGGCATTTCTATACATCCTCTGAAATCTAGGTGGAGGTTTCCAAACCTCAATTCTTTTTTTTTTTTTTTTTTGAGATGGAGTCTTGCTGTCACCCAGGCTGGAATGCAGTGGTGCGATCTCGGCTCACTGCAGGCTCCGCCCCCCAGGTTCACGCCATTCTCCTGCCTCAGCCTCCCAAGGAGCTGGGACTACAGGCGCCCGCCACCTCGCCCAGCTAATTTTTTGTATTTTTAGTAGAGATGGGGTTTCACCATGTTAGCCAGGATGGTCTCGATCCCCCGACCTCAGGTGATCCGCCCACCTCCGCCTCCCAAAGTGCTGGGATTACAGGTGTGAGCCACTGCACCCAGCCCAAACCTCAATTCTTGACTACTGTCGACCAACAGGTCCGACACCATGTGGAAGCTGCCGAAGCTTGGGGCTTGCACCTGCTGAAACAATGGCCTGAGATGTATGTTGGCCCCTTTTAGCTACAGCTGGGATGCAGAACACCAAGTCCTGAGGCTACATGAAGCAGTAAGTCCCTGGGTTCAGCCCACAAAACCATTTATTCCTCCTAGGCCTCCACGCCTGTGATTAGAGTGGCTGCCCTGAAGACCTCTGACATGCCGTAGAGCCTTTTTCCACATTGTTTTGGTGATTAACATTTGGCTCCTTATTATTTATGCAAATTTCTCTAGCCTGCTTGAATTTCTCCTCAGAAAATGGGTTTTTCTTTTGTATTGCATCATCAGGTTGCAAATTTTCCAAACTTTTGTGCTCTGCTTCCGTTTAAGCATAAGTTTCAATTCCAAATCATCTTTTTGTGAATACATAAACCTGAATGCTTTTAAGAGCACCCAAGTCACCTCTTGAGCAAGCTTTACTGCTTTTCTGCCAGATACCCTAAATCTTCTCTCTCAAGTTAAAATTTCCACAGATCTCTAGGGTAGGGGCAAAATGCCACCAGCCTCTTTGCTAAAGCATAGCAAGAGTCACCTTTATTCCAGTTCCGAACAAATTCCTCATCTTCATCTGAGGCCATCTCAGCCTGTACTTCACTGTTCATATCACTATCAGCATTTTGGTCAAAGCCAGTTAACAAGTCACTAGGTAGTTCCAGACTGTTCCACATCTTCTTGCCTTCTTCTGAGCCCTCCAAGTTGATCCACCCTCTTCGTGTTGTACCCATTCCCAAAGTCTTTATAGCAACATCCCACTACCTTTATACGGATTTACTGTGTTAGTGCATTTTCACGTTGCTAATAAGAACTGCCTGAGACTGGGTAATTAATAAAGGAAAGAGGCTTCATTGACTCACAATTCAGCAAGGCTGGGGAGGCCTCAGGAAACTTACAAGG
The DNA here is from genome assembly GCF_000001405.40 of Homo sapiens. Lineage (NCBI taxonomy): Eukaryota > Metazoa > Chordata > Mammalia > Primates > Hominidae > Homo > Homo sapiens. Next base: position 21,718,004 of record NC_000005.10, read on the forward strand.
GGAAACAGGACACCTTCTTCACAGGGCAGCAGAAAGGAGAAGTGCTGAGTGAATAAGTGCCTTATAAAACCATCAGATCTTATGAGAACTCACTCACTTTCACAAGAACAGCATTGGGGGAAACTACCTCTATGATTCAACTACCTCCACCTGATCACTCCCTTGACACATAGGGATTATAGATATTACAATTCAAAATGAGATTTGGGTGGGGATACAAAGCCTAGCTATATCACCAGAAGTTAGGCTGGGAATAGTGCTTCATTCATTTTGAATTCAGGGCTTCAGGTAAAATAATAACATTTTTGTATTATTAATTAATTATGAAAAAAATCACGTACCCATGTATTCAAGTGTTGATAGAAACAGATGACACATTCTAATTTGTATAGTAGGTGAAAAGCATATTTCCAAAGGAATTGCCTACTTAAAAAAATCTGTTAACTGCAGGAAACCTCAAGGGATAGTGCAGGAACTCAGACATAGCAACAGTGGCTATCAATATCTCTAGGCTCAAAGAGTCAAGGGCAGAAAAAAATCATTAGAATCTGAAAAGAGAGTCCTCTAGGGTCAGCTTCACTCAGAGGAGTAGAGACCTGCCATTAAAGAAATCTGATTTTCCTGATGCCACCTCAAAAGGAAAGAACCAAGGAAACATATACTCTTTCTCTCTTTTCTTTGGTTTCTTGCTGGAGCTCCTCACTGGTCAATGTCAGCAGGACCCAGAGAATACAAGGTCTATTAACCTAATCTCTATAGTTCGTACTCCCAGCCAATGAGTAGGGCAAGTAATATTGTAGTATAGATCTAGAATGTCAAATGGAAGTCATCCCATACACTCATTGATAGAAAAGACAATCCACCATTGGTTCCTATTTAGACTAATTCTGTACTTCCAATTCCCCAGTAGCTATTAAAAGGAAGCATTTTATACGACATTAATGTTTGGAGAATTAATATAAAATAAAAACATGGTACAAATACATTTCTATTCTGATCTGATTATATTTAAGATATTATGGGTGGCGTAGTGGTAGAGAACTGTAATCCCAGCTACTTGGGAGGTGAGGCACTTGAAACCTAGAGGTGGAGATTGCAGTAAACTGAGATCCCACCACTGCACTCCAGCCTGGGCAACAGAGGAAGGCCTTCTCAAAAAGAAAAAAAAAAAGCAATTAAGATATTGTGGGGAAAACCTCACAAAAGTAAACATTAATGTATTAATGGCATTTAGTGACTTGAAAAAATACTGCCACTATGTATTTTTTTAAGTTTAGAACTGGGCCAGGCACGGTGGCTCACGCCTGTAATCCCAGCACTTTGGGAGGCTGAGGCAGGTGGATCACAAGGTCAGGAGTTCAAGAGCCTGGCCAAGATGGTGAAACCCCGTCTCCACTAAAACTAGTGGAGGCGTGCGCCTGTAATCCTAGCTACTTGGGAGGCTGAGGCAGAGAATCACTTGAATTTGGGAGGCGGAGGTTGCAGTGAGAGGAGATCACGCCACTGCACTTCAACCTGGGCTACAAAGTGAGACTCCATCTCAAAAAAAAAAAGAAAGAAAGAAAGAGAGAGAAAGAAAGAAAGAAGTATAACTGGATTAATAATTCTGGTAGACCTATGAATGAAAATAAAACTTGTTAAATTATGATGTATATCAAAACTGAAATAAATCCATTTATTTGAAAAACTTCAAAAACAGTTGATATCATCACCAAGTCAGGAAAAAAAGCAATTAAGATATAAAGATATAAAATCACAAACTTACTTCAGGCAATCAATACTAGGTTATACAGAAAATAGTTCAATATATACCCAATATAAATACATATGTGCATCATTTTTGTCTTATTGAATAAAAAATATTTTTCACGTGATGCACTTAACTTTAGAAGCCCATGAATATATTTTTTTAGATAACAAGCAATTTTTTAAAAAGAATGTTTGCATATGTTTAAGCTGTATTTGATGACATCTAAAGAAATAGCCATTTGGACTCACCATCAACTCTAAGAATTGTCTATGACAGAAGGCATTTATTGTGGTTCTCAGAAACAGCTAAGAATATAAAGCTTTGCCACAGTAAATCAGTAAATTACACAGCTTATTTTGTTGGTCATTTCTATTTCTGGTCTGACCCTATAAAGCCAGTTATAGTTGCGAGGTTCCTGGAAACATGCAACCTTTGGAAAATGTTACTAGAAATAAATCAATTTGATGATCATGCCAAAAATCAAACTCTTTGGCAAGAATCTGGATAAGTTGCCTTTGGCAAGATTTGAAATCTCTGCTATTTGCTACAAGAGGAAGCCAATCAATGAAGGATATGGATTCATAACCAGATTACCTTTTTTGCCAGAAATTCAGCCATTACCAAGTTTGTTATGGAGAATCTGTATAAATTAATTTTGCCACCGTTTCAAGTACATAAATTTTTGTCTGGCCCTTCCAGAATGGAGTTTCTGCAAATTAAACTTTTTGAATGGCACCTGCAGTCCCTCTTATGCCAGGGATGCATTCTCTGTGTTAATTTTGATAAAAATGTGGCCCCCATTCAAGATACGAATGAATCATTTGGATTCCTCTTACTACCAATAGATACATTCATTTTCCCTGGAACTATGTTTCCAATTCTAGAGAGAAAATCAGTCACCGATTTGCTTCCAATTGAATTAAAAACACATTTAAAATGCATTGAAAACTGAAAAAATAAATGGTGTCTATCTATTAAGATGAAATTCAATTTCTTGCATTAATTTTTGTCTTTTGACATGTAAGTTGTGAATAGACTCTACGAGTCTGTACCCATTAACTTGCACGAACCCATTTGGACATGCTATAATTGAAATAATTTGGGAAATTATACAGTCCTGAATGATTAGTGTTTCCCACTTAAAATCCCTGTCATCTAGATATTTTGTTAGGTCTATCTATGAGCTATGACCTAAAACAAACAGGACTTCATTCCCAGCAAAAAGTTATCTGTATTTTGTACATTGTGCAAAGACTAGGGGATGAAGAAATTACATCTTCTAAAAACTTATCACTTGTATAATAAATATATTGTTTTTCTTTTCTTTTCTTTTTTTTTTTTTTTTTTTTTGAGACAGAGTCTCACCCTTGTTACCCAGGCTGGAGTGCAGTGGTGCGATCTCGGCTCACTGCAACCTCTGCCTCCCAGGTTCAAGCCATTCTTCTGCCTCAGCCTCCTGAGTAGCTGGGATTACAGGTGCCTGCCACCACGCCTGGCTAATTTTTGTATTTTTAGTAGAGACAGGGTTTTGCCATGTTGGCCAGGCTGGTCTTGAATTCCTGACCTCAGGTGATCCACCCACCTTGGCCTCCCAATATATTGTTTTTCTAATTAGTATAATGGGGTGTGTGGGATGTAGTTTTTTTGAGGACCAATATAGTGTTTGCAAGCTATCAAGAAATTAACAATTAACAAATAAAGCAACACACATAATTTCATGAGGCAAAATCATCTTCGTTTTTTTTTTTCTCAAGTTTCTTCACATATTGATAAAAATTCAGAATGAACTGACTCTGAAGAATGTGATTTTTTGTGTCTTGGTTATATTTTTATATTTCCGTATCATATTTTTGGTTGAATATTGGAAAATGCATGTGTCAATTTAGAAGAAAATTCTGTATGTTCATGTTCTTCAAAAATCATAGGCCAGGCGCGGTGGCTCACGCCTGTAATCCCAACACTTTGGTAGGCCGAGGCGGGTGGATCACGAGGTCAGGAGATCGAGACCATCCTGGCTAACATGGTGAAACCCCGTCTCTACTAAAAATACAAAAAATTAGCCAGGCGAGGTGGCAGGCACCTGTAGTCCCAGTTACTTGGGAGGCTGAGGCAGGAGAATGGCGTGAACCTGGGAGGCGGAGCTTGCAGTGAGCCAAGATCACGCCACTGCACTCCAGCCTCGGTGACAGAGCGAGACTCCAACTCAAAAAAATAAAAAAATAAATAAAAATCATAGTCATTTCTTTGGTTCTTTCACCCTCTGCTGACACTATTTTTTTACTATTGTAATTTTGGAAATGTACCTCATTTGTAATGAACAAATTGAAAGATTAGTGTTCGTGTTTAGACATGGTGGAGTTTAGAACAGGACATGCTCACATGTTATCCTAGGTGCTGTTGATATTTGATATCATAATGCAATCATGCCTGAGAAAACATTCATATCAGCTCTGATGGTTCAGCCACACCACAGATGAAATTTGCAAATCCAGAGCCACTGTCTATTCAAACTTTAGAGATATTTAACTTTTTAATTATCTCATGAGATTATATATTTTCTATAGTGATTTTAAATATTTTGAGAGTTAAAATTTTCTGAATTTGGGACAAAAATGGCTAAGTTATCTTAAATATACTTTTAATAAAATATTATCCAGGATTTATTTTCTATGAGGTATTAACTGAGAGTTTATAGTTTTTGACTTGAAAGTTTAAGAAAATTCATAAAACTATAAATATTCAACACATAAAACTAATAACATAAAGTTCTCAGGTAAAAAATAAAGAAAAAATTACTTCTAAAAAACATTAAACATAGGGTAACTAAAAGAAAGTAGGAGTTGAGAATACAAGCATTAGTTCTAAAAAGAATGGTTTCCGTTCTGCAGGGAGAAAGAGACAAAGAATACATTTAAATATTTCATATATAGTATATAAATACTGTGTAAGTGAGGCTGAACGAAATCAGATTTCCCTCTATGATGCAGGTCCATGTAATATTTTCAAACCTGAGCAATTCTTCCTTCCCATCAAAACCTAAGGCATCACAGTCCTCCTTAGACTAACTGCCTTGGAAAATTTGCTCTGTCTTCCTTGTTAGTCCTTTCTCCTCTGTTGCTTGGTACTTTCACCAAAAAGCATGAGTTTAAAATTATGATCTAATTAGCAATGTTAAGATGGCAGCAAGACAATATAAATTTTCTCTCTGAGAAGAATAAGTATAAATCACAAATGTGAGCATTCCTTTGAAGAAAAGATTAGCCCTAATTAAATAAAACTTATTAATTTGTATGTTGGTAATTATAATTAATTAGTATTGACATTAGAATATTACATAGTATATATTAAGTGTATGTTATACTTTACACTGATGATATATTAATTATAGTATATAATATCATACATTTATATATAAGTATTGTGTTTATTATAATTTTTTAAAATTATGATTCTGCATTATAAATATTTCCTATATGCTAAAAACAACTAAAATATAAACACTTTTGCACTGTACAAAAATTATAGTTCGCCATTTAATCATACTGATTCAAACATAGCCATCCTTTGCTATGTATCTTAAAACATCCATTTTTTTGGTTGTTATTCTTTCCTTTAATGTGAATCTATAAGAACGGCCTTGACATTAAATTGTTTTATGACTAAATGTTGACTCCTCTCAACTGAAGTATGTTATTTCTATTTATTAAAAATATTTAGTAGTTATGAAAATTATAGGCAATAACAGTTTCTAAATTGGTGTAATTTTTAAATTCACTAGTCATAACATAATCTGCAATAACTTTAGGAATGTTATAATTTGGTAAAACTCTCTTGCATATCAGAGCTGATGGCCTCTATTTTGGGAGAATTTTTTGTTGGTCTCTGTGGCTCAAAATCTTCTTGTGAGAGAGCTCATCATTGTTCCTTCCTCAGGCCTGTGCTGGTTGGAATCTGCATAAACACTAGGTGGGCTCTGGACTTCTGAATAGAATCGTGACAGTCATAAACAGGCTGAAAACCTAACCAATGGAGATTTAAATAGATTATTACTTAAAAGTCAAAGTTCCTGGGATATCATGGTGTGTAAGAACAGGGAATAGGGACCGTATCTAATTCACAAGCTCCATTGAACCACAAGTGAGAAAGGAGGTAAGCCCCATAACGTATGCCTTTGGAGGATCAAGCATTCAGAGTTCATGGTTCTTCACACTCAGCTGTCCTTAATCTTTCCAATATCTCACAATTTGCTTCACAAAACTTTATGCCTTTCCTCTCTCTTCTAGTTTGCCTTCCTCCTTATCAATCCATTCGTTTCCACTAGAGAATTGGTCCTCATTTTCTCCTTTATATCTTTCAAATGTTGTCTTCTTTTAGGTATTATACAAATGGAAGCTTTCCTCAAGCCAGGGAGACTTCAAAAAGAAAAGAAATGCATCTCTCAGCATTTAGTCACTCTTTGCTTTTCGTTCCTCAAAATTTGATCTTTGATGTAACTTACAAGCAAACAAAGAATAACTTGGCTTCTTGATTATGAATTCAATAATCAATGATGCTTGATTATCAGGCATTTTACCATTCCAGAAATCCATAGGGTTGGTAATCAGCAAATGAGCAACTGCATCAATTCAATTATCTTGTACAATTAATTCCACAATATTCCACAAAATTACCTTGTGAATTCCATTTCTCCTGATATTTTCTTTTTGTGCCATAGTACCATTCCAGAAATCCATAGGGTTGGTAATCAGCAAATGAGCAACTGCATCAATTCAATTACCTTGTACAATTAACTCCACAATATTCCGCAAAATTATCTTGTGAATTCCATTTCTCCTGATATTTTCTTTTTACCATTCCAGAAATCCATAGGGTTGGTAATCAGCAAATGAGCGACTGTATCAATTCAATTACCTTGTACAATTAATTCCACAATATTCCACAAAATTATCTTGTGAATTCCATTTCTCCTGATATTTTCTTTTTGTGCCATAGTACAATTCATAACACTGCAACTTTGTTATATAACATAATTTGCCAGTACCTAATGAAACCCTTTTCATTCCTGTTATGGTATAAATGTAAGAACACCTTATTTAATATAATACTTTTTTCAGACATAAAAAACAATTAATATATTTAACACAAACAAAATAAATATCTAGTTACAATTTAATACAGAACAGGAGACACCCTATAAAGAATAAAACTGGAAAATTTAACATTTATTTTACTGCTTTCTCATAATGTATTGCAATTTGTTACTAAATTAATTTAAAATGATAAACCTGCCACTTTGGCATTTTAGTTTTAAAATTCTATCTTAAGTCAGCAATATAAAAATGTTAGAGGTTCATAGTCTTGTTTTGAGTAAAAAGAGATGGCCTTAGCCTGAATCATTTTACACATTTCACGTTTCACTTTTACATCATATTTATTCAGGAAAACTATCCAGGAAGATAATATGCCTCTTCAGCCTAATAAAGAAATATATTCTATAAAATCATTTAAAAATCACTAAAAAAACTTTACATTCTTTTATGAGACAGGGTGGTAGCAAAGTGAGATTGGTAAACTATACATTTTATACCTTTTTATATCTCTGATAATTTTAGAGTGCATGTTGCTGGTGTGTGTGTGTATTTTAGGCAGCATCTCATTCTGTCACCCAGGCTGGAGTGCAGTGACATGGTTACGGCTCACTGCATCCTTGACCTCCCAGGCTCAGGTGATCCTCCCACTTCAGCCTCCCAAGTAGCGAGGAATACAGGCATGCACTACCATGTCTAGCTAATTTTTTGAATTTTTGGTAGAGAAGGGGTGTCACCATGTTGCCCAGGCTGGTCTTGAACTCCTGGGCTCAAGTGATCCACCTGCTTTAGCTTCCCAAAGTGCTGGGATTACAGGTGTGAGCCACCACACCCGGCCTCTATTATATATTGAATGTTGTAGGAATGTTGGAAATGATGGGAATTTCCAGGATACTATCAAATCTATAGACTAAATGAAGTTGGTGTAATTTAACCCTAGGAATACAAGGGTGGTTTACATTGTAAAATCAATGAATGTAATGCAACCTATAAGGACAAAAGACAAGGTGATACTTGATCATTTCGTGATAAAATATCTCAAAAAAAAATTGTTAAATCCCAAAGAAAGTATTGTCTCATGACATTTTATAAAGAAATATATTTCAAACTAATAATTATAAAGAAACTGGAAAGACTATGACAAATTCCTTTTTTAAATTGTATTTATTTATTTATTTTTGACACAGTGTCTTGCTCTGTCACCTAGGCTGGAGTGCAGTGGTGCAATCTCAGCTCACTGCTACCTCAGCCTCCTGGGCTCAAGTGATCCTCCAATCTCAGCTTCCCATGTATCTAGGACTACAGGCATACACCACTACGCTTGGCTAATTTATATATATATATATTTATAGAGACCGAGTTTTGCCATGTTGCCCAGGCTGGTCTCAAACTCCTGGATTCAAGATATCCACCTGCCTTGGCCTCCCAAAGTGCTGGGATTACAGGTGTGAGCCACCAACAAATTCTTAAGTCACAGTTTGTTCAAGGACAGTCTCAGACAAAATAGCGTTCACTAAAGGGTTGAGAAATCTGATCAAAGGTCAATGTAAAATGCAGGTAGTGCATACACACTAAATGAGGTAGGTTTTAAGAGACAATAAAATATGTTAAGTGTGCCATGTTATTTCCAAGTTATAAAAAATGAGAGAGGAACGATTTATTACAGCAGTGCTTGAAACAGATGAGAGTGTCAACATGATTTTCTTTGCCAATCAATTGAGGTTACCAAATAGTGCTTTTTTTTTTTTTTTTTTTTTTTTTTGAGACAGAGTCTTGCTCTGTCGCCCAGGCTGGAGTGCAGGGGCGCGATCTCGGCTCACTGCAAGCTCCGCCTCCTGGGCTCACGCCATTCTCCTGCCTCAGCCTCCAGAGTAACTGGGACTACAGGCGCCCGCCACCACACCCGGCAAATTTTTTGTATTTTATGTAGAGACAGGGTTTCGCCGTGTTAGCCAGGATGGTCTCGGTTTCCTGACCTCGTGATCTGCCCTCCTCGGCCTCCCAAAGTGTTGGGATTACAGGCGTGAGCCACAGCGCCCGTCCTAGTTTTCTTTTTTAAATAAATTATGTAAAAAAAAGAATTACATAAATAAATTAATAGCTGAACGCAATAAAGAGGAAGGATGATAAAGGCATCCTAGAATGAAAAGCAAAGATTTAAAGTGATGGGAAGAGGAAAAGTTCAAAAGTACAAACGATGAACCAATCCTAAGGACTCCATCCAGGAAAATGTTCATCTTCTCAAGTCAGTTCTAACTACTGCCACTAGCGTCAGTTCTTTACCTCCTAATTACTCATCAAGAAACCATAACCATAAGGGGAAGAGAGGAAAGCAGCATGCTAAAATGTAATGTGTACATAGTGTATGTAGTCGTTGAATACTCTTCAACTTGCATAACTATTTTGTCTAAATTCAAGCACTAAAATTATTTTGAAGAAAAATGTTCTGTGTTTTACGATAGAACTTACTATGAAGTTTCTTCAGTTTGATGTTCAGTTATGAGCCGTGAACAAGAGACTTTAACTGGAATCAGACTACACAGTCTCATTGCTTTACTAACCTTCAGAGACCTATTTGCTTATGTTTTTATGTATTAATTCCCAAAAGCCTACTTAACACTGCTCAATTCCAAAGCCTATTATTTCCACTATCCATATAACACGAGTTTATAATTATTTTCCATTTAAACTTTTGTTCCAGAACTGTTTCTTAAGCAAAACCAAATTATCTTCACGCAGTGCTTTACAAAGCAGCAGTACATTGACAAATGATTTCTTTAACACATGCTACACTTGAGTACATTTTCAAGTCAGTCACTGTTTTACATCGATTGCAGTAAATATCAACATTTTCATTGTCCTTCATTCACACATATTGTTTCTGAGTGTAAGCTATTTTCAGCTAATAAGATTTTCTGCCTGGAAACGAACTGGCAATACAGTGATATAAGGTAGCTCCAGTTAATAGTTTTAGCATATGAAATTTGAATCAAGGAATTTTTAAAACTTTTGAGAAATTGGAAACTAAGCCCAGGGGATATCATAGTTTTAGTTTATTAAAAATTTGGTTTCTATAGTAAGTAAAAATGAGTGTTGTAGTGCAGAGTACTTGAAGTACTCTTAGGTGTGAGCACAGAGCTTATTTATATCCTTCACACTCCCCAGGCTCAAATATTCACATTCACATTTATTTGTGAACTTAGGTTTACAAAAGTCACTTATCCAAACTTCTCTGCAATCCTTGCTAAAAAAATCCCCAGACCCTGTCTCATATCACCGATGTGATGTACCATATCACTGATGTAATGTACAACAGTAATAAGGGTGAGAATATTTATCTTCCTCTCTCCTATAACTGTCTTTCTAATGAATGTGAATTTTAGTATCTTTTGTATTTGCCTCCTCAAATATCATCACAAATGTCCTTATATATATATATATTATATATATAATATATAATATATAATAAGTAGATTTCCAAAATGAAAGAAAAATACATTACATTCTAAATATATAGAAAAGATAATTTTCTATGATGCCAATCAGTGAAAAAAATTCATTGTTATAGAATAGATTGGAAAAAACTTGTTTTTTTTTTTGTAACTACAGTCATTGTTGAATGTCATTCTTTAAGAATATCCTTCAAATTGGCAATTTTTTAAAAACGGCATTTCAAATTAAATTTTAGTGGTAATCCATAATGGTTGGACTATGTTACCCCAAAATTCATACGTTGAAGCCCTAACCCCAGTGTGAGATTGTAGATGGGGTCTCTAAGAAAGTAATTAGGCCAAATACGGTCATAACATTGGGATTCTGATATAATAGAATTGATATTCTTATAAGAAGACACACGAGAGAGTTTGTTATCTTTCTCAACAAACCTGCTGAGGAAAATTCATGTAGGAACACAGTGAGAAGGCAACACATTACAAGCCAGGAAGAGAGGTTCTATCAGAAACCTAATGGGCTAGCACCTAACCAACTCTTGAGCTTCTAGCCTCAAGAACTGTGAGAAAATGAATGTCTGTTATTTAAGATACCCAGTATGTGGTGTTTTGTTGTTGCAACCCAAGCAGACTAAAACATACTATTAATACCATTGTTTTCCAGCAATATCTTATTTCCTGTTAGCATATACTAAGACAAATAATAGTTTTAGAATTTATTGTAACCTAATTATTAAATTTAGGATTATATTTGAAATTTAGAATTATATTTGAATATAATATAAAAAGTAGTCAAAAAGTAATGAGGCCTTATGCTAAGGCAGTTATAGTGGGAAAGCAGAGGAAGAGGCAGATATGTTAATAGCATAGAAATCCATGCAATTTAATACCTAATTTGAATGCAAAGGCAATATAGGTAGGATACTATCATAGTTATCACATGGCTTGTTGGTATGAAATAGTGTATGACTCTCCCTGAAACAAGAGGATTATAGAAAAACACTATACATCTGATTGTGTATGTGTTCAAGGTTTCTGGACTAACCTTTCTATATCTTATTTAAGGCTAATCTTTTTACCTGTGCACAGGATCCATTTTTTCTTACTTGTTCGAAAACTTTACTCCAGAGACTTGCTATTTCATGCATGGTAGAGGGGCTGGTTATATACTAGCCCTCCCACTCTAAACCCCTGTAACTCTGACAAAATATGCAAGATAACTGTTTTCACGAATGAGGGGGCAGCATGTGACTGTGATCTCCCCATGAAAGGAAAAGAAATGAGGAAGGCTCCTGCTTGACTAAGCTTTCCTTATGAAGCCACTATCCGGACTGGGGCACAGTGAAGAACAACCTAGAAGACAGAGCATAGAGACGTGGTAAAATTTGTGTGAGCCAGAGTATCAAAAAAAGGTAGTTGAGAAAGACTTCCAGAAATTTGCAAAGAAGTACTAGTCTTTGCCAGAATACAAAACTATGTATGCACAGAGTAAGACTTCACAAAACCAGTCAAATAATCATTATTGTATAACTGTAAACTGTACAAATAGCAAAGTCCATATAAGGCTGTGAAATATTTGAGTTCTTCAAGTCAGTCAAAATGAATAGTCCTTTAGGAACATCATAGTTATTCAGTACAGACTTGTGTAATAACCCAGATTAGTAGTCAAACTATTATGGTCCTAGAGTAAAGGTCATACTATACCTACCTTAACAGTGTGTAATCACAAGTTTCAAAAACATTAATCTTATCTGTCTACAAGTAAATTAAGTGACTAATGTAATGAAACAACATTCAGTTAAAAAAAACTACAAATTCTAGATACATAAAAAATAGTATCCATAATGTTTTGCACACAATCAAGAAGTACTAAAGTTGTAAAAATATAGAAAAATTTGGCTTATAACCAAGAGATACACCAAAGAATAAAAGCAGGTCCAGAAATGATAGATAATGAAATTTACATTTGTAAACGGATATTAAAATATGTTCAAGTTTTAATGAAAATATTAGCATAATAAAGAAGCAAATAAAATAATTCAATGGAGAAGTAAAAACTATGAATGAATTTCCAGTGAATTATTTAATTTACTGACGTTGCTTAAGTGCAGATTTAGGCACTGAAGAAAAACTTTAGACACGGAAGAATGTAAATGAAAATCAATAAACTTGAAATCAAGGTCAGTAAGGATGACCATCCAAATTGAAATACAGAAAGGAAAATGTTGAATGAAAAATGAGCAAAACTTCTGAGGTTTATGAGTCAAAATGTGACTCTTAATGAATGTATAATTAGGGTCTTCGATGAAGAAGAAAGATAGGGTAATAAGAACGTAAAATACTTGGAAATTTGTCTGACAGTTTCAAAAAAATTAAACATCTATTTACTCTATAACCTGAAAATTCATTTCTGGTTATTTACCCCAAACAAATGAAAACAAAACAAGCAAGTAGGCTTTAAAAAAATGTTCGCAACAGCTTTATTAATAGCCTCAAACCAGACATGACCCAAATTTTCAATAACTAGAGAATGAATACTAATTGTGCTATGTCCCTTCAAAGTAATATCATCCCTTACCTTGGTCCACAGTAACAATTTTCTAATTATTTTGTTCTGTTCCCTTTCTTTTCTTATTAGATATATTTTTTAAAGCAGCCAGCAGAATTTTCCAAGTATCAATAAAATGTCAATTCTCCAATAAAAATTATCTGTTTTCTTTTTGCTTTTAATCACACTGAAAATAACATTGGAAGTTCATAGCCATATTGTAGTGATGATAATATGACACTGGGCTCACTGTTCTGAATGTGTCCCTCACCCTTTACTTGATGTGGAATCAAAGAAATCACATACAGTGATATAGGTACTAAAACAATAAAGTGAATGATCTAAGTTATTACCATTTTAGTGTTCATAAGGTATTACTTATCTTAATAACTAATTAGTTAATTTATTTTTGGAAAAACTTAAAAATATAAATTATACAGATATTTTCAATTTGATTTTTCATTTTTACAGAACAAAATTATATTAGTATTCTATAGCTGCTATAACAAATTGCCACAAATCTGGTGATATAAAGCAACATAAATTTATGCTGTCGTAGTTGTGGAGGTTAGAAATCCAAAATTAGTTTCACTTGGCCAAAAATGGTCACACTTTCTCCAGAGGCTCCAGAAGAGAAGCTGTTCCTTTCATTTTCCAGCTTGTGATAGCTGCTGGAATTCCTTGGCTAGTGTCTTCAAATCTCCCTCTGCTTTGTGTTGACATTGCCTTCTCTGCTGTGCTTGTCAGGTGCCTTTCTGACTCCCCTTTCGAAGGATACATATAATTACATTTAGGTTTCAACGAGATAAATCAGAATAATCCCCCCATCTCAAGATCCTTATCAATCACATCTGTGAAACCTTTCTTTAAAAAAAATTCCAATAAAGTAACATTCAAATATTCTAGGGATTAGGAAGTTGATATCTTGTAGGGAAACATTTTTCAGCATGCTACAATAAGTTCAAACTAATTTATTGAATATCTGAGCGTCAACATCTGTTAAGGTATTATGATAGTCTTTATATTAAAACACCAAGATTTTCTCTTTCACTACCCCAATAAATTCAAGCGCTGTTCTATAATCTTCAAATTATTATCAGAATGATCATACTATTTGTCTTGTTGAAGCTTATTATACAACTTTGACTCTAGTGAGTGGTCCATTAAACTCTTTTTGCATTTTTGTCATATACTATGCTTAGTTAATTTAACTTATGTTGTGCTTAGAAGCAAACGAACAAAAACGGAAACAAAAACAAACAAAAAACTAATGAGAATTTAGAAGGTTTTGGGACCAAATTAAACCATGACTGTGAAGATGTGTTACCTATATAGTGCTATGCAGATGTTGTTTATTATTATGTGTATCCCACAATAATAATAATGTACTTGATTAATCAATTTAAATATATCTTTGTATCATGTTGTGACATAAGAAAACCTCTAAAATGTGTTGGTTTATAACATTTTATTTGTTGATTAGCAGTGTGGCTTGAGCCTTGCTAAGTGATTCTTCTGCTGCAAACAATAAACTCAGACTAAATGGTCATGATTGTGTTGTTTATAATACTGTTGATTTTGCTGCTGGCCACATGTTTTCAGGATACCAACCAAGACATCCTTGCTGGCTAAGTCCAAAGACAACAAGAGATTAAGGGCATGACTTGTTAAGTTACACATTTCTTCTTAAATTATACATTTGCTTCTTCTTAATTACACATTTTAGCTTCTTCTTAAATTATACATCTTAGCTCCCACTTAACTAAATCAAATCACATGACAAGGTTCACAGGCAATGGTCAGGGCATGGATATAGGGAAGCATGAATCACTGGGTGTCAATATTACAACAGTTTCTCACATTCCTCCTTTTAAAATACTGTATGCAGTATCAGTAAAATGGTTTTTATTTTATATCAAGAATTTAGGACTATTCTTACTTGTTATTACAGAAAAGATCTCTCCTTGAAAATACCCAGTATACTAAAATACCCAGTATACTAGTGTTCACTACTCTGTAACTAAAACTTCATTATGTTATCTTCAGCTAAGCAAAGGCTTCCATCCACCCTTTTTGAAATTCAAAATGTCACTGAACAAAATAAAATATTTTTGAACAAAAATATTGCCACTATAAAAGAGTTTATGAGACAATTTCTTGGACACATGGGGAAGAAAGACTAATAAAGATGAATACATAATAAAGGTGGATGAGATTCCAGAATTTGGATGGTATCAGATACCATGCTCTCTTCATAGGCTGGCCAAGCCATTTCTTGTCAAATATATCTCTTGTCTGAATATTCTTGTTAAAATCCACTACTGTGTTTACTATTTTCCCAACATAATAAGTTGTAATCTAAGCAAAAAGATGGCAGTTAGATAGTTGGCTGTTTGATTTATTTTTCTAAGAATTTGCTTTCTTCCTTATTAATGGATAGAATGCCAAGATGAGATGATCCAGACTGTATTCTAAATGGAAGGGCAACAAAAAACTACATGTAATAAGTTAAACAAACAGCACAAGTCTAAAAATTAACCAAAAATATCATCCCATTAATTGTACAACTGCATAATTCATAAATAATGATTGCATTGCATGATTCTTACAAAGCATTTTTCATGGATTCTAAACAGAGGGGAAAGCATGCAATCGGTCAGTCCATCACTAAGACTAAAGCATAGAAAAGCAATCCCTTCTTGCAGGCCCCAAGCTTAGAAGAGTGAGGTGTGTGTGTGTGTGTGTGTGTGTGTGTGTGTGTGTGTCTGTGTGTATAATTTAGGAAATTGATTTAATATCTCTGACAGCAGAAAATGTGAATTTTTAAATAACCTTTATTTCTCCATTGTGTAGCATGATGTCTAGCCAAACTAGATTATCAATAAATATTTGTTGCATTAATAAATGCATTTAAAACAATAATAAGGCCAGGTGCGGTGGCTCACACCTGTAATCCCAGCACTTTGGGAGGCCGAGGCAGGCAGATCACAGGGTCAGGAGTTTGAGACCAGCCTGGCCAACATGGTGAAACCCTGTCTCTACAAAAAAAATACAAAAATTACCCAGGCGTGGTGGCACGCGCCTGTAATCCCAGCTACTTGGGAGGCTGAGGCAGGATAATCGCTTGAAACTGGAAGGTGGAGATTGCAGTGAGCCAAAATCATGCCACCACACTCCAACACGGGCAAAAGAGCAAAACTCCATCTCAAAATAATAATAATAATAATAATAATAATAAAGATGTATGTAAACTCATTTAATCAAATATTAAAAATATGAAAAATAAAAGTACATTGAAATGTTATTATTACATTGCTATAGTTACTTTTAAGTAAACTTTGTGCCTGCTTGAATAACTGAGCTCATATTTTATATAACTATTAAATTGGTGCAAAAGTAATTGCTATTCTTGCCACTACTTTTAATGGCAAAATCTGTAATTACTTTTGCACCAACATAATACTATAAAAATAGTTGATTTGCTGATCCAGAATCTAACTTTTTTTATGAACAAATAATTTTTAAATACTCTAGTGACATTTATTAAGAAATCCTTATGGCTAGCACTTGATAAAATATTGCATTAAATATGCATTAAATATGTTTGCATTAAAATATGTTTTTATGCCTTCTTTCCTTCTTAGTACTAACTTGAAGAAAGAAAAATCAGATATTTATTAATTATGGTGTGTGTATGGGGGTGTCAGCACTTCCTTAGTCAGCATTCTTCATAGTTTATCTGTCTTTGTCCGTATAAACACAAACAAAAATAAATACTGAACGGTAGACTTTTCCAATGTAGCTTCTTTACTGACTGGTACAAATTAGATCACCAATTAATGATTTTTTATAAGAATAAATGGATAACAATGAAGACACACAAGAGAATATAAACATATTATTGCTGGGGGTGACTTGGAAATCTTGAAAATTTGATAATGAGCCAAAGAAATAAAAGGTAAAAAGAATCAATTTGTAGAAGGAAAGAGGATTATAAAAAAAAATACAGTGACCTGACAATTATATTATTTGTAACTTCATTCTTTAAAATCACTTTGAGATTGCAAATACTATGTATGGGTGCAAGGTATTGAAGTATGGGCACTCCTGGAAATTTAACAAATATTCTCTATAAGTTAAGAGACAAGGAAAGAAGGATGAGAGGAAAACTGTGGAGCAAAGATAATTAATAGTTACTCTATAAAGTTGGGAGTTTGATTTTCTGTGGAGACTTGGAGGAGGAGGAGTTGTGCATGGCAGTGACTGGAAATAAATCTAGCAGATAATTTTAAAACAACTTCTATACGGAATGGAAAATGAAATAGGCTAGAGATAAGTAAAAGATTATCCAGCTTAGGTATGTCAAGGGGAGACAGAGAAATGATATAGAAAGAGCTTAAACACTGAAGTCAGTCCAACAAATGTCCATATCAGGCCTCTGAAAATTATTAGCTTTGAGACTATGGGAAATTAGATAACTTCTCAGTGTCTCAGTTTTCACATCTAGAGGACAAAAATTAAAGGTTCAAATGTGATAACTAAGAAATTGATGAAAATGCATTTTTCCTTTTGAGTGAGTGCCGCAGGGTAAAACACTACATGGGTTTCAGTAAGAAAGAGGTTACATTTCTAATGTGCTGATTTTCTTTAAGATTGTAATTCTTTTGACAGAATGGTTCACTTCAGAATTCACGCATGTTTGAGACTGAAGTGAACAGGTGTGAGTGCAGATACATTGCTTTCATGCGGAAACAATTCGTTGGGAGGTATCACGTTGGGAGCTTTTGTTGCTCTCATTGTTTTTTGTTGCTGCTGTTTTTACTTGGTTTTAATTTTTTTTTTTTTTTTTTTTTTTTTTTTGAGACAGAGTCTCCCTCTGTCACCCAGTCTGGAGTGCAGTGGCGCGGTCTCGGCTCACTGCAAGCTTGGCCTCCCGGGTTCACGCCATTCTCCTGCCTCAGCCTCCTGAGTAGCTGGGACTGCAGGCGTCCCCCACCACGCCCTGCTAATTTATTGTATTTTTAGTAGACACAGGGTTTCACCGTGTTAGCCAGGATGATATCGATCTCATGACCTTGTGATCCACCAGCCTTGGCCTCCCAAAGTGCTGGAATTACAGGCGTGAGCCACCGCGCCCGGCCGGTTTTACTTTTTTTCACAAAATGAACTTCAGAGTGCTATGACCGCAGGTGTAATTTTAATTAAGCTGAGATATTATATTTGCATTATTGACTAAGTACTAATTTTATAGGGTTTTTGTGTGAATGAAATGAAAAATAAAAGCACATACCTGTGACTAAAACACATTATGTTGTTGCTAAATGTTCAAATCTTCTTCCAGTACTTAAAATTATATGCTTATGTTTCTTAAAATAAGAAAACGACTAGCTTCTAAATATGTTTTTAAAATTTATGAATGGTACTATTGTTCTTATAAAAGGTTTTCTTAAGCTTTTTAACCCAATCATATTACTTGAATGTTTACAAGGTAATAGTCTTAAGAGAGCTAATGCTCCCAGCCAAAATGTAACATCCTCAAGAGAACAAAAGATATAAGCATAAATATAATATTCTTTGGGAATCTGACTTTATGTTGTCTACCTAGTTCACAGTTGCCATAATAAACCTGGACTTTCGGGGTAATTATTTTAAATCTCCTCTGTAATTGATCCTATGGTTCATATGCTGGGAAACATTCATAGGCTGGGCACCTGACATATTTTTTATTGTTTTATTTTCCATATGACCTTTTCAGTATCTCAAGAATTTAAAGGATTTTATAATAAATCCTCATCATAAATGATAATGAAGGAAAGCTAAAGTTTTCCTCTGCTCATTCTTTTTGTCCATCAGCTTAATGCCTTGTTAAAAACTTACTTCTCTTATGTTATTTTCCTAAATAACAACATGGCATGCTATATTCTTGTAATATGTAACTACATAGCAGTTATAAAACACCAGATCCTACTTTCATTTACTGATATTGGATTTAGGTAAGAATAGGTCTAACTTGTTTAATATTTAGTGTGATATATATATATATGTACATATACACATGCATATACACAAATAAGCAATTACGTTGTAAAAATCATCTGAAAATAATACTAAAATTGAATGTTTAGTAAATTTTTGTTTCTTAGAGTGTCCTCAATTACTTTGTTATTCTAGTAAATTTTAATGAAGTCAATTTTGGCTCTTCATATTAACCCTACGATTTCTTTCTTTTCTTTTCTTTTCTTTTTTGAGATGGGGTCTCCCTCTGTTGCCCAAGCTGGAGTGCAGTGGCGCTATCTTGACTCACTGCAACCTCCGCATCCTGGGTTCCATCAATTCTCCTGCCTCAGCCTTCTGACTAGCTGGGATTACAGGCACCCACCACTGCAGCTGGCCAGTTTTTGTATCTTTAGTAGAGACAGGGATTCGTCATGTTGGCCAGACTGGTCTTGAACTCCTGACCTCAACAGATCCTCTGCCTCAGCCTCCCAAAGGGCTGGGATTACAGGTGCGAGCCACCATACCCGGCCCAACTATAAATTTTTACATGGAGAAAGTTATAGCAACAAGATATGAGAGTGTATAGTGGTGTGGAATAGATTTTTTAGAGAGCAATTCAAAAATTGGTTCAAAAAACACTGAAAAGAATAGGGGCAGTATGTTTTTTTTTAAAGAGTTATACCATTGAAAAAATGCTTTTGAAGGTCACACACTTGAGACACAGTTTTAGTAACATTGAGGTTTAATCAGAAGTTTATAGAACTGTCTTTCTCCTCCACATCTTCTCAATACACAAAAGAGTTCTAGTATAATGTTCTAAATATGTCAATTAAAAGTCAGAGATTATCATAGTGGATTTTAAAGAGACATAATCATATTTTCTATGTACATGGAAACTCCTTTAAATATTAAGACACTGAGAGGTATAATGTAAAGAAATAGAGAAACACAGACCATATTAACAATAATCAAAATAAACTGTATTAGCTATATTACTTTTAGACAAAGCTGACTTCAAAACAAAGAAGTGTATCAGGGATAAAGAGCATTTATCAGGTATAAAGGAGTCAACTCTCCAAGAAGACCTGCAATCCTACATATTTGCATGAAGCAAAGCTGATACAAATTAAAAAGAAGAATGGAAAAATCCACTAATTTTATAGGGGAATTCAACATCTCTTTGTCAGTAAATAATAGATCAAGTAGGCAGAAAATCAGTAAAGACATAGATGACCTGAACAGCATTATCAATCAATATTATCTAATTGACATTTATAGAATACTCCGTCTAAGGACAGTAGAATGCACATTCTTTTCAAGTTGACATTAAACAGCCACCAAGATAAACCACATTGTGGGCTATAAAACACACCTTAGTAACTTTGAAAAATAGAAAGGAGAAAAAATATGGTCTCAATTTGCAATGGAAATAAAGTAGAACTCAGCAACAAAAAAACCTGTGTAAATATTTAAATGTTTATAAATTAAACAAAACTTTCCTTAGTTGTACATAGGTTAAAGAGGTTTCCAGAGAAATCAAAAATGTATTTTAGACTAAATGAAAATGAAAATGCAGCCTATCAAAATTTTAGATATATAATAAGAAGTGTGCAGCAGAATTGTATAGCATTAAATGCATATATTACAACAGAAGAAACAACTGAAATAAATAATCTGTGATTTTATCTTAAAGTACAATAAGAAAATAACAATTTCAACACAAAACAAATAAGAAAAAATACTAAAATTAGAACAGAATTCAATAGAATTGAAGTTTAGAAATCAGTAAAATTGAAATTAAGAAACAGAGAAATCAATAAAGGTAAAACTGGCTCCATTGAAAAGATAAATAAAATTGACAAAATTCTACCAGACTAATCTGGAAAGAAAGTGAGAAAGCAGAAATTAACAATATCAGAAATGAAAGTTGAGGGATCATTACTATTGATCTAATAGACATTAAGATGTCAATAATAAAAACTATGAAAAACTTTATGCCCACAAGCTTTGTAACTTAGATTCAATGGATCAGTTCCTGAATAGACACGAACTACAGAAACCACATGAAGAAAATAAATAACCTGAATAACTCTACATCTATTATATGAATTAAATTCACAGTTAATGAGCTTTCAACAAAAAAGTAACAGGCCCAGATTATGTCACTTGGGAATTCTATCAAACCTTTAAGGAAGAAATACTGCCAATTTTACACAATCTTCTTCAGAGTACACAGGGAGGAGTAATACTAGATAATTCATTTTATGAGACTATCATTACCTTCATATCAAACCAGAAATAATATTTAAATAAAGAAAAAAATACAGGCCAATATCTCTCAGGAATATAGAGTCAAAAACCCTCAACAAATATATATCATGAACAAGGGTCAGTCATTCCAGATTCAAGGCTATTTCAATATTCAACAATTAATCAATGCACAGTTGGCCTTCTGTATCTGCTGACTCTGCATCTGTGGATTCACCCAACTGCTGATTGAAAATATTAGGGAAAAAAATAATAAAAAATAATAATACAAAATTAGAAATAAAAGCAATACAGTGTAACAATTATTTACATAGCATTTACATTATATTAGTTATTATAAATAATCTAGAGATTATTTAAAGTATATGGGAGGATGTATGTAGGTTATATGCAATTACAACTTCATTTTATTTGAGACCCAAGCATCTGCTGATTTTGATATCCTGAAGGAGTCCTGGAACCAATCCCCTACAAATACCAAGGGGTGACTGTAATCTACCATTTCAATAGGTTAACAAAGAAAAATCATTTACTCATTCATTTAAGGGAGAAAAAGAGCTGACAAAATTCAACACTCATTCATGATTTCTAAAATTTCAAGAAATTAGGAGAAAAAGGGAACATTCCTTACTTGATTTTTAAAAATCAAGAAAAATAGTATATCTAACATTGCACTTAATAAGGGACTCCGCACCACGTCTAAATTTAGGAACATGATGGGAATGCCTGCTATCACCACTGCTATTCAACACCATAGTGAAATTCTTAGTTAATATAATAAAATAAATAAAAGGAATATATAGATTGTAAAGAAAAAATAAAAAATTTTTATTTGAATATGAATGATTATAAAATCCACGTTATCTATGAAAAAATCTGAAATAATAAGTAAATATAGCAATATTACAGGAAGCACATCATTTAATACAAAAACCACTCACTTCTCTACATACTGCAATAAAAATTAGAATTTCAAATTAAAAATATATCATTTATAATACACACCATAAAAGAAATATTTAACTATAAATCTAATAAATTATGTATAATATCTCATACAAAAAACTAGAAATTATGAAAGAAATCAAAGACTGTCTAAATAAATGTAGTTATACTTTATTGATTAGATGACTCGATTTTGTTAAAATATTAATTCTCCACAACTTGATCTCTAGATTCAATGCAATTTCTATAAAATTCCAGCAAGCTACACTATAGATATCAACAAATTGGCTCCAAAGTTCATATGGAAAGCAAAAATCTGAAGTATCCTACAAGTCGTTGAAAAACAAAGTTGGAGTACTCCACTTTCTGATTTCAATACTTGTATAAAGTGACAGTAATCGAGACAACATGGTTTTACAAGAGAATGGGCATAAAGATCAATGGAATTGAATAGAGACTGCAGAAGCACACCCACACAAATATGGTAAGCTAGTTTTTAACAAAGGTGCAAAAAATTTCATTGGAGAATAAATAGTTTGTTCAGCAAGATGTGCTGGAACAAAGAGATGTACTTAGCACACATCATATACCTTTCAAAAAATAAAACTAAAATTGATCTTAGAACTTAAACATAAAATTAAAATGAAAAAACTATAACATGTATTGATGAAAACTTGGGTGATCATGGGTCTGGTGATGGCTTTGAGATAACCATAAAAGCATGACCTATGGAAAAAAATTGATAGGGTAGATTTTATTAAAAATAAAAATGTCTGCTTTGTAGAAGTTACCTTGAGAAAATTAAAAGGCAAGCTACAAGTTTGGGAGAAATATTTTCAAAATATATATCTGAACAGACACTTCAGCAAAAAGATATGCAGATGGCATGACATATAAGCGTATAAAGAGATACTAAATATCATTTTCATTAGAAAAGCAAATGAAAAAAACAATGGAGTACCACTACACATCTATCAGAATGGCTGAAATCCAAAAAAAACTGACAATACCAATACTGATGAGAATGAATAGCAAAAAGAGTTTTCGTTCATTACTGGTGGAAATACAAAATGGTAGAGCCACTCTGGCAGTTGCACTCAAAATTAAAAATAATCTTATTATACAATCCAATGATTGAGCTTTAAGGTATTTTTCCAAGTGATTTAAAACTTATGTTAAAAAAAACCCTGTAAATAAATATTTATAGAAGCTTTATTCTTTTTTTTTTTTTTTTAAGACAGAGTTTCTCTCTTGTTGCCCAGGCTGGAGTGCAACAACATGACTTTGGCTCACGGCAACCTCCACCTCCCGGGTTCAAGCGATTCTCCTGCCTCAGCCTCCCAAGTAGCTGGGATTACAGGCATGCACCACCACGCCCGGCTAATTTTGTATTTTTATAACAGACAGGCTTTCTCCATGTTTGTCAGGCTGGTGTTGAACTCCTGACCTCAGGTGATCTGCCTGCCTTGGCCTCCCAAAGCACTGGGATTACAGGCGTGAGCCACCGCGCCAGGCCAGAAGCTTTATTCTTAATCACCAAAAACTCAATGCAAACTCAATATCCTTCAGTAAGTGAATGATAAACTGTGGTACATCCAGACAATGGGATGTGATATCATAAATACTAATGTGTTATTAAACCACATAGAGAGATGAGTCTTAAATTCATATTGCTAAATGAAAAAGCTAGTCTGATAAGTCTACCCACTGTATTATTCCATTTATATGACAGACTAAGAGACAAAACTATAAAGACAGAAAACAGATCAATGGTTTTTCATGAGTTCAGAGGGAGTTTCACATACAGTCACTGAAGCACAGGGGATGTTTTTTAAAGCAGTGACACTATTCTGCAGGGCATTGTAATGGTGGATAAACAACACTGTGCATTTGCTGAAATCTATAGAACTTCACAGCACAAACAATAAACCTTAATGTATGCAAATTTAAACATAATCTTTTAAGAGATTAAGGGATCCAAGAATTGAATGAAGAATGTAACAAAAGAATCTCACTTTGTAACAAATGAATGAAACCACGTCACTGACGGGGGAGGGGTGTAAAGTTTGTGACCTAAGTAAATCTGGAAATGAGTGGAGTCTGTAAGACTTAAGGCAAAAGAACTCTAACTGATAAAGTTGTTTCACAAGAAGATGTAAGTTAACAATCCTAAAATATACAGTTGACCTTTGAACAACATGGGTTTAGACTACATGGATCCACTTATTTGTAGATTTTCTTCTGCCTCTGCCACCCATGAGAGAGCAAGGCCAACTGCTCTTCTTTCTCCTCCTCTGCATCCTACCCAATGTGAGGATGGTGAGGATGAAGACTTTTAGGATGATCCATTTTCACTTAATGAATAGTAAATATATTTTCTTTTTCTTATAATTTTCTTAATAACATTGACTTTTCTCTAGCTTACTTTATTGTAAGGACACAGTATATAATACATACAGCATACAAGATACGTGTTAATTGACTGTTATCAGTCAGATTCTGCTCAACAGTAGGCTCCTTGTAGTTTAGTTTTTGAGGAGGCAAAAGTTCTACATGGATTTTTGCCTGTGTGGGGCATAGGTGCTCCTAACCCCTGTGTTGTTCTAGGGTCAACTACATACTAGGATTGAACAATTAAGTAAATCAATGGCAGATGATGGGAGGTAGGTTTGTCACTGTTGGAGTGGGAGGGAACATACAAGCAGGAGAGAAGTGTATGTGTAATTTTCTATATAATAATAGATTAGAGTGGAGGACATCAGTATTAACTCGTTTTAGTCTAATGTTAGTACAGATGGTTACACATGGAAATATATATGGATATTGATTATAGATGCATAGTTGGTATAAACATATATTTTCTTGCTCTATCATTGGAGAGGACATAGAAACACAAACACCTTAGTAGCAAGAAGCATACCTACCATCAAGATATTGACTTGCATACAATTTTCCAGCAAACAGAAACAAAGCTTTTTAGAGAACTATTGCTGATTCTAGAACTGGCAGGAAATATTAAAGGAAAAGCTTGAATTTTGCAGTACCAGAAAGTAAAATAGTAAGACAAACTGAACAAAACCAAAATCAATCAGTTATGGGATATGAAAAAGGGTACAGGAGCCAAATGAAATAGCTTTATAAATAAAGTGGTATTGGTAATCACAGCACTTTGGGAGGCTGAGGCGGGTGAATCACCTACGTTTGGGAGTTTGAGACCAGCCTGACCAATATGGTGAAACCCCGTCTCTACTAAAAATACAACAATTAGTCGGTCGTGTTGGTGGGTGCCTGTAGCCCCAGCTATTCATGAGACTGAGACAGGAGAATTGCTTGAACCCAGGTGGCAGAGGTTGCAGTGAGCTGAGATTGTGCCACTGCACTCCAGCCTGGGCAGCAGAGTCAGACTCTGTCTCAAAAAAATAAACATTAAAAAAAATGAAAAAATAAAGTAGTATTGGCTTATAAACCAAAATATCAAATATCTATGAGTCCATACTAATATAAATAAATAATCTTATAAATAAATGAAGAATAGACACATCTCCCATACAGATGAAGTCCAATATTTTAGGCAGATACTCTGATCTCAAGAGATGAAGCATAACTCTGCACTTCTTAAGTGAGGGCTGTGCAAAGTGACTTGCTTCAGGGAAGTGAAAGGTAAGCAGTTGGGGAAAAATGAATAATTTATAGTGAAGAAAGCTGACAAACTATTTCAGCAAGATGATCAAAGTGAATGTCAACAGTGATAAGTCATTTTGGTAGCATGTTCCTCTGATATGATGTGATGAGAATGGCACTTTACCTCTGTGGTCTTCTTCCCTAAAACCCATACTGCCAGTCTAATCACAAGAGGGAAAAGTCATATTAATACCAATTGAGAGACATTCTATGAAATACCTGGCCACTAATCCTGAAGACTCTCAAGACCATTAAAAATGAGGAAAGCCTGCAAAAGTAGCACAGCCAAGAGAACCCTAAAGAAACCTGATGACTACATGCAGTAGCATATTGTGGATAGGATCCTAAGACAACAACACAATAAAAGCATATTAGGTAAAAATAAAAATGTAAAATAGTATAGAATGTAATTAACAAGGCATCAGTATTGGTTCAATAATTATATTAATTATGATAACCATACTGTAATAATGGAAGTTGTTAGGGGAAACTGGGTATGAAATGCACAGTTATTTTCTGTACCATCTTAGTAATTTTAAGAGTGTGTGTTTTAAACTGTTATTTGAAGAGTAGAATAGCAATGCATTGTTTTTTTTTTAACAACAGCATGGAAAAGAAGATCATAAATATCCCATCAGAAATGGAACAGATAAAACAGGGAAAAGGATGGGAGAGGAGAGGAGAGGAGAGGGAAGGTGAGAGGAGAAGAGAGGGGAGGAGAGGAGGAGAGGAAACAGAGAAAGAGCAAGCACAGGAGGATAGTTCAGATCCCAAGTAACAACAGAAATACTAAACTTGGAGAAAGGAGGATATAGACTTGGATCTCATGAATTCAAAGCCAATGGATTAGATTGGCCAGGTGGTGTTCAGAAGATAGCAAATATGTGCAACTAAAACTCCGTCATCTTACTGAAAGGGAAAACGTATAAATACACATTTAAGGATCATTTGAATAGTATTTATACAGAGATGAAAATTGCTATTATAACAAGAGGCCTCCAAATGTCAATGATATAAAAAAGAAATGAGAACAGAAGGGAGAGCTCTGTGGGATTATTTTTGTAGGCTGTGTGAGAGGTATATGAAGCCTTAAAAGAGGAAAGAAAAAAATGTGTGAACAAAAAGGTGGAAGAAGCTTGAAGATGAGATATGAGCATGTGATTAACTCTACAGAAACATCAGGGAGATGAAAGAAAGGAACACTGAAGTTTTTAAATTATAAAGTTATTAGTGAACTTCAAAGAAACAGATTTCAGGTTGTTACCCAGTTATAAAGGAGTGAGGCAGGAGAGTGCAATATGCTGTATCTCATGGGTAAAGGGGTGGCGTGTGCATATCATAATTCTGCTAGTGTCCTGGCTCTGCCACTTGTCAGTTGTGACTAAACAGACATGTTACTTCACCTATTCAAGCCTAATTTACTCATATGTAAAATAAATATAATGGTAATATGTGGCTCATCAAGTAAGCCTTAAATGCTTGTAGCATAATTGTCTACATAGCATATGCTCAATGATTAGTAGCTCTATTATTGCTATTACTTAAAAAAACCCAGCAGAGCAGAAGAGAAGAAAGAAAGAATTCCTGATTGTTTCATGTAATTTTGAGTCATGGCAAACACCATATCCATAGAAAAATGGATAGGAAGAGACTAAATAAATTCCATTTTAGAGATTTAAGTGATGATGTGGGCTAAGGTATAGCTACACCTATGGGAAGCTAAAAAGACATGAAATTAGACATAATTAGATTGAAAAGTCCAACTAAGTTAAGGTCAGGGTAGTGTTGAGATGGTAAATGTCAATGTTTAAAAGGAGGTGCAAAGTGATTTAGCTTCAAATACATTGAATTCTTGGTAATATAGACATGAATATTTTCCATTGTATAACAGAGTTTTCACCTGTACTATGGAAACCTATTGTGTCCTTCATTCTTGCTTCTTGAGTAAGATATTGACATAAGAATAAATAATGTTTAGGTTATTTCTTCTTTATAAGGAAGTATAACAATATATTGTAGTATGATCCATAATTCCCAGAGATCCATGTTAATTTACCTTGCCATTACAGTGTAACAAATAATAGTGTAGAAGTTACAAAAAGAAGGGAAAAAGCATCAGAGTGAAAGTTTAGATAAGAGTTATTTAATTATTCACAATTAAGAAAAGGGCTTTACCCTATAGTTGTTTATTATTTCATGGTTTTGCCCAAGTCGTTTGGGCACTCTTGCCTTCTATTTTTTCTTTTTATTTTAAAGTGGGACAATTAAAACGACATACAATTAAACCCTAATAAAGTTTAAGAACTTTTGAGAAATTTAGTAAATAAAATTGATTGTTATGAAAATCCGTGACAATTGGTTTTTAAGAAAATAAATAATTAAAGGCTTAAGTGGCAGTCCACAATGCAAACTGGACTTATACACACGTAAATACATATATATGTGTATATGTGTGTGTGTAATACACATACACACTAGAATTAACCTCTTTTTTTATAACAATGGATATAAAATAAAATGATCAGATTTCTTTTTCAGATTTTGGGTCATTATGACTGATTGTATTTCATTTTATATCCTTTTCAAACTAAGAAAAACTTATGATATTATAAGTTGAAGATAAAAGAATATATATTTATAAAAACTTTCTATATATTATTTCTATGTTATGTATATGTGCATATACATGTTTTTGTATATGTGTGTGCGTATGTGTGTATCCCCACAAAAATAAAGAGAATGCCATAAGGTCCATTAGCAGACAAATATTTTGCGTAAATGTTTGGAAGGCTAACAGAACAATAGTGGGTGAAGCTGGGCAGAAAATTTGCAGACTAGGGAATCAGTGTTGCAGCTCAGTAGAAAACTTATCTTCTCATCACAATCCTAGGATGTGTCATGATTTGGACATATCATATGGCAGAAAACTGGAATGAGACATGAGGGTGAACTAGAATAAAGTAGAATGGAAGTCTGTAGCTCCCTTTCCCATGCTGTGTTTGAAGAACATAATTCGGAGGAAAAAAATAGGATTACAAAATGTAAAAAGCTGCAATTAACATCATCAGAGTGAGTCAAGAAAAGACTGATCTAAAAGTAAGAGCAGAATAATATAAAAAAAGACAGAGAACAGAACAACAAAATACTCCTGAAATTAACATTTTTTTTAAAAAAACCACTACAAAAAAAAATCAATAGAACTAGAAGACAAAGAGGAAAATATCACCATGAAAATAAAGTATAAGACAGAAAGTGATAGTTAAAATATAATTAGTGCTTAAACCTAGAACATCCAAAAACCAAAGATTCAAAATTCCACAGAGATAACAGAAAAACGCAGGGTAGGAAACTATTGAAGAATGATTGCAGGAAAAATATCTCAGAACTAAAGGTTCTGAAGCTCTTTGTTGAAAGGGGTCATGGAATACCAAGTCCTGAGAATGACCAAAAAAAACTCCTCTTGACTCGTCCATGTGAAATTTTATAACAATAAGGATAAAAAAAAGAAGACCATTATGCAAAAAACCATATCACATAGAAAAGAATGACATGGTCACTATGCTATCTCATCACCTCAGTTGGATGCTAAAATATGAGAGAAACTGTTTTCAGAATATTGAGGAAATCATTTAAAAAACATAATTCAAATGAGAATTATGTACCTAGCCAAACTACAGATTGATGAGGCAAATAAATAAATAAATAAATAAATAAATAAATAAATAAATTCAAGGAAGGAGTAATTTATGAAAATAACACACACCTACCACCACATACACATGTCCCTTCCTTTAGTAACCAAACTCAGGCTGTTTATTGACATTTAATAAACTCTTTCTTCAGGTCTAGTAATAACTTAGGGGTCACTTCAAATATAAGGCCTGCGTATTGACATGTGGTTTTAGGAATTCCCATTTTTAATAAAATAGTTACTGAAATTTTCCAAGGATTTCTGTGGGCAATAGCACATCCCTTCTAATTTTTTCTTCCTACCATTTGTTTATCCTGTTTGGCTCAAGATCTGGGCCTAACTATTTTAACACTTTTTTCTCTCTTTTCATATGTACACCTCTGCTTTTCAATCTTGCAGAAGAATTTTGACATTTGCACCTAGGAAATGTTTGTCTGGCTCCTCTTATGTTGTAGAAGCGGTGAGTTTTAATGTATAACCAATGCAATCCATAGTTCAAAGATTCCTAATTCTTATATTATGCTTAAAGGTTCTCTGTGATTCTCATAATTATATGTAGTCAATATTTAAATGATTTAGTGAACTTCATAAGATTGTCACTAGAATTTCAGAATCAAGACATTTTAGAGGAAATTTGTACAACACTAAGTTCAACAAATTAATTTTGCCAAAGAAAACAGAACACTGGGAGGCTAAGGAGCTTGACCCATATTTCTGGTGAGAATTTGGTACAAAAGTAATTTTAGATCATTTCTAGCATATCACATCGTTTCACTCATATGTGTTGATCTAATACTTCATTGAATATAATTAAATGTAACATTTAAAAATAGATATAAGTAACACACATATGTTACATATAATACATACATACATACTTCTATAAAAGTAAACATGCAAGGCAATAACAAAATTATGGTTTAATTATTATTAATAGTCAAAATTCCCCATATAAATTCTAAACATTTTTATAGTGCTTAATGCTTAAATGAAGGTCAGTAATTTTGTTATTATAAATAAAACAGAACCCAACATGTTATAAGTATTGAAATATTAGGCCTAGTGTGATGTCATAGCATAAAATGTATCCCATAATATTTATATTTACGAGCACCAAAGACCTCTTTTCCCCATATCTCTCCTCTGGTGACCCATTGTATCTGAAATCATTTCTATTCATTTTTTTCCATATATTTGGGTTTTTTTGTGTGTGTTTTAAACCAAGCCAGTTTTTAAAAAAGAAAATATGATGAACACCTGTGTGATTGATATGGGCCGAATTGTGTCTCTTCAAAAATCATATGTTGAAGTCCTAAATCCCAGCAACTCACAATGTGATTATATTTGGAGACAGAGCCTTTATAGAGGTAATCAAGATAAAAAGAGCTATTATGGGTGGGTCCTAATACAGTATAACTGGCATCTTTTTTTTGTTTTTGTTTGTTTGTTTGTTGGTTTTGAGAGAGAGTCTCACTCTATTGCCGAGGCTGGAATGCAGTGGTGACAACTCAGCTCACTGCAACCTCTGCCCCCTGGGTTTTAAGCAATTCTGTCTGCCTCAGCCTCTGGACTAGCTGGGATTACAGGTGCCTGTCACCACGCCCAGCTAATTTTTGTGTTTTTGGTAGAGACAGGGTTTCGCCATGTTGGCCAGGCTGGTCTTGAACTCCTGACCTCAGGTGATCCATGTACCTTGGCCTCCCAAAGTGCTGGGATTACAGGCACCGCGCCCGGCCTGGTGTATTTTATAAGAAGAGCAATTAGGACATGAGTAAGCACAGAGGGAGTACCATGTGAACACACAGAGAGAAGACGGCCATGGGCAAGCCAAGGAGGGACTCCCAGGAGAAATCAACTCTGTCAACACCTTGATCTTGGATGTTTTGCCTCCAGAATTGTGAGAAAATACATTTCGGTTAAGTCACTCAGTCTGTGATATTTTGTTATGGCAGACCTAGCAAAGGAATGCAGTGGTGTGGCAAAAATAAAAGCCGGATGTACTCAAAAGTATTTAACAGTTTGGTGAAAATAAGATCTACTTATTTCATATTTTTGTTTAGCACCTCAGCCATGAAGTTTGAAATGACCTGCCCCTCACAAGTTTTCTCCATGCTACCGTTGCTTCTGCCAAATGATCTCATGCAGAGGCAGTTAGATTTCCTAGCAAAATGCAAAATGCAGCAATTCCTGATGGGAATCTTTTTGTCTATCAGAAGTAATCTTGCATAGTAAGCTTCTTCAGGGGTTATATATCAATCCATAGCAAATCATGTTGCTAAGGCAAATCCCAAAATTGTCCTAATTTTTCTCTCTAGGATGGTTATGGCATCACCAGCTTTTAAAACATGTTATGTAAATACTTTCCCAAACATACTATAAATTATCACACTACATCAATATTATAATGCAGTTCTTGGGATAGACAAAGGTAAAATTGGGATGAGATGGAAGAAAACAAGTTCAACAGCCATTCCTGAGAGGGAGAAAATGAGAATATGCAACTGGGAGATATCAACAAAGAAATGGGGAATGTGAATTCAAATGCCCCCATTGCCACAGCATAGTGAGTAGTTGGATCATTTTAAAGGATGTATTTATAAATGAATAACGGTGAATATGATTTTCTTGTGTTGTCTATATTTCTGCCTGTTTTTGTCATGTGTAAATTTTTAGCTTCAAAACCTTGCAAATATTAAATATATCTATAAGTATTTCATAAACCCAGCTAGATAGTGACCATATCTTCAGGATGGACCCATAAGCAACTTTAATTTTTTTCATATATATAGTGACAATATTAGAGTAGTCACTTAAGTAGTTATCATATTCATATAAAATATATTATTTTGTAATTAGTTTGCATCTTTTTATGTTTTCCACGCTAGTGTGCAATCCGCTTGAAAGCAATGTATGTGAGTTTAGTTTACTAATGCGCTTATAAAATCTAATATTACTTAGAAATTTGCATCATTACACGGAATTTGTAAGGGATAATTTACATTAAGATTTTTGTAGATGAGAGAACAAAGAGGTAACTATGAGCTCCAATATAATAATGGTGCTCACAAAGTTGAAGTCCATGTAAGTAAAGTAAGTATATCAGCTGCCTGAAATTGAATTTACGTTCATTTTAGGATTCAGTCATTGGTTTGAACTTTTTTAAGTCCCTGATTTTTTATTTTTTTCAATAATGTATAACAAATATTTTTAGACATCTTATAAATCCATCCTCTATTATTTGATATGTATTTTATTTTTGCTGCTCATCAAAGAATCACTAGATTGTAAGAAACTCTGAGAAACTGTATAATGAATTTCTCTTTCCATGCTTAAATGAATGGCACTTTTTTCTTCTAAGAATTTTCATAGAAACACAACTTGAAATTACATCTATGACTAAAAGCTGAATCTGGTGACTGTTAAAACCAATTTTCCACACACCAGTACAATATTAAGCAAAACCAATATTTATTTTAATGTGTAATTTGAGCCCTGAGGCCTCTCTTTATAAAGAGGAATATTTTTTCTTTTTTTTCTTTCTTTTTTTTTTGGAAAAGAAAGTAACATTTTAATGAACAGCTTTAATGTGAACTAATGTTAAGATCAAACATTGTTTCTAGAATTTGGGACTTACATATTGAACTTGATATTTTCATATTTATTTCAATTTTCTGAAAGGATAGGATAAACAAATACGTTTTAGCATACAGTTTAAAAAAGAAAAAGAAAACCTTTTGAATTAGAAGAAGGTGGAGATCAGAAAGTGTTCTTCTTTTGTTCTCAAAAGGAATGAGGAGAGTCAGAGTGTCGCTATTGCTTCTTGACATAAAGACGGTGTCTTTGTTTTATGTCTTTATCTCTGAATCCCGCAATACCATCACAGCAGAGTGTACTGTACACCACTTTAAATGATAAGAGTTTCAATAGGCACTTTAGTGGAATTAAGAAAAATCTAACACTCTTCCACCGTGATGCCACATAGCTATCTTCGTTCTAGGTTGTCATGTCAGTAAATTGTATTGAATAGGCCTGAGCTTGTCTCAGTGTGATTGTGAAAAAACAAAACAACAAAACAAAGCAAGTACACATTATAGGATGTATCTCTTGTTGGCAGAATAAACCAAAACTGACAATATGATTAATTTAGTAACTTACTAGAAACCAGGTAATCAAAGGAATCTTGTCCCAGAGTGTGTGTGTGTGTGTGTGTGTTTGTGTGTGTGTGTGTGTGTGAGAGAGATTTCTATTAATATTTGTGTTTCTTTTTCTTTTTTAAAAATCTCCCCTCTCGGTTGTATTTTAGCCTCCACGACTCCCTTAAGTGACTTTATCAGGGTTATAACTCTCTTCTTCGCCAAACATGTCTGCCAAGACTTTAAAGCGGGGTCCCCAGTCTGTCAGATAGTCATAGTCCTGGTCGGCTTCTGTGGTGAGAGAGTCTATAGAGCTGAGGGACTCTGCCACGGACCCACTCCCTTCGTAGGCATATGTGGCCAGTGAATCGTATGGTGGGGCAGTTGGATCCACATCATTTTCCTGTAGCCTTTGATGAATGAAATCCCTTATGTCTGTGTTATCTTCCATGGGTGGTCTCTGACGAGGTAAACAGAGAGAGTCTGGTTTTATATCCCTGCGAATTTTGTTCTCCTCAATCACTTTTGGGTTTCTCAGAGCCCCGATGTCGAAAGCCTGGGTATCTTCCTCCCCACCTCCTTCATCATCGTAATGGATGACGTTGTCTCTGATGTCTTCTTTAGAGGTCATCAGGGTGTCTTTTTTCTTCTGCCTTCGCAGTGCTACATACAGTACAACTATGGCTGGAACAAGACAAAAATTGCAATTTGAGAATAGAAAGCAGATAGGTCATTTCATCTCTCCATAAAAATTAAAAATGATTAGGGGTGGCTGAGTTTCGTGAATGACCTCCTGTTACTTTCATAGTAAACATACCATAATCAATAGGATCATACATATGTTTAAATTTTGAAATTGTTAACTAACAAGAAACCATAGCAAAGTTATTCACAAAATGAAACAAGTATGTCTTTATATTAAAGTATTTTAGGGTCTGGTAAAAGTGTGTGTTGCAACAAAAGAAAAAAGGAAATAGTAGTTCTTCCACTCATACAGAAAATTGTAAGAATATAAGAAAACTTGAATATTATCATCCATAAATAAGACTACCATTCATTGCTAACTTCCCAATTGGAACATTCCTAATTTTAAATTAGAAATTTATGTTTCTTATGCGATAAGCCCAAATCTTCACTGTGACCATTATTTTTAAAGGCAATAAATAAGAAAGAGAGAAGTAGAGGAAGTAGAGGAAGGAAGGAAGAAAGGAAAGAAGGAAGGAAGTAGAGGAAGAAAGGAAGTAGAGGAAGGAAGGAAGTAGAGGAAGGAGGAAGGAAGGAAGGAAGATGTTAAGGACCTTAGTTTTATAAATCTTACAAACTAAAGCATTAATTTCAATTCTGTGTCCTGCCATATTGAGAAAGTTTTTAAAACAAGTGCCTAGAATTCAGGTTACCTTCATAAAACAATATTTTAAAATTGTTAATTTATGTACTTTTATTATCAAAATCTCTCTTTATTCCCAGTTGATTTAAAGCTCTCCACTAAATCAATGGTGTTTATTTCTACTATGCATGAATAGGCACAGATACAAATGACGACGTCAGTGCTCAGCTTTTCTTGTCATAATAACCCCTCTCCTCCATAGTGGTGTCAACAGGTGAAAGCTAATGTGTGTTTGATTTACCAGAGCAGAGTCTGGAAGACACCTGTCATAGAATTATAAAGTAGAGAAGAATGCATGATGATAAAATTTCATTTATTCTCTCTTCCTCCAAAATTAGAGATGGACCAGTTGGAAGGAGAGAGGAGATCTAGGTAGAGTTTCTGTACAGTGGGCCTTGGGAGACGTTTAGCACCCTGCACTCCTCCCAAGAGTTTATGGAATCTCAGAACAAAGGACATGATTGTTTGTTCCTCTACCAAGTATGTGAGAGACTGCAGACCTCATGGAGCAGCCCCATACATAAAATGAGTTCAGAATCACCATGGCTGAGAAAGAAACTAGCTGGATGTGCCTGAGGTCCATTTAAAAGGGACCCAAGCACCATACCTTTCTGTTCTTTCTCTCACCCCACAAAGGACATGAGAATGGCTGAGAACAAGCTAGGGGACCTAAAGGAGTGTGAGATTGCTCAAGGAGGTCAAAGATTAGATGGATTTTAAGCAGACCCTATGACAGGACAAAGAGTGTCAATATACACTGCTGTATACCAAAAATTCACCATGCCTAGAATAGTGCTGGTGCTCTGTGGACGCTCTGGAAGTATTTGGATAAATGAGTGGCAGATGGTAGTACATGATAAAGATGACCTGAGCAGATTACTTGCTACAGTGTATGACGGCCAGAACATACCAAGCCATGTTAGGTTGATACTGTCAACTCAAATAACAAACAGAAAGAGTTTCTCTGAAATAAAATATATTTATTTGGAAATAGAGTATAGCAATGGGAATGTGAGTGCCATAGTAAACTATGTGTGTGTTCAAGAGATAAAGGAAGACAAAGGTTTTCAAAGAAAAAAACGAGGAGGATACATAATTGTTTTAAATAATTATCCTTGACTACAAAGATTAATAACAAGGGTGATGC
Source organism: Homo sapiens (assembly GCF_000001405.40). Lineage (NCBI taxonomy): Eukaryota > Metazoa > Chordata > Mammalia > Primates > Hominidae > Homo > Homo sapiens. Next base: position 21,754,087 of record NC_000005.10, read on the forward strand.
CAGTCCAACATTGGACAGGCAGTTGCTGGGCAGATGTTCCGGCAGAAATGATTTTGTATAAGGTTGTGATGGCCTTTGTGCGGGGTTGTGATTTTTACAGTCTTTTTCATTACAGGCATATAAGGGTGAAAACCCTCTCTCCATGGTCTTCCCTAGCTCTATTTGTCAGGGTTTTCTTGACATTAGTGACTCCATTTTGACTCTTACAACTTTCAAAATATAGGAATACTCCAGGACTCAGCTACAAGAGAAGAGAGGCATATGAGAGAGAAATACTTCATTTGATGTTAAACACCTAAATGATCTTGTTAAATTTCAGATGTGAAAATATTACTTGGAATGTGTCCTTAAGGTTTATATTAACACAAAAGATGCCAGGGATAATTTATTATGAATTATAAGGATATAAAGAATACTTTGCTCTGCACACCAAAGTTTCTCACGTGGAATTAATATCTACACCATGCCAATTGGACTAGAATTTCACCTTCTACGTCAGCATGAACTTCTGACTCAGGGAGTGCTCTCCACAAGCTACCATATAACGCGTTACTCCGTGCCTTTCATCTCACTAATTATTTTTTTTTCTTTCCTAGAGATAAAGTCAGGTGTCCATATTTGTCAGATTATTTTTGGTTAAACAGTAAATATGCATACATAATTTGATTCCACAATACCCAGTTGTATATCTGTTGTCATTTGATTTTAAAGGAATGAGGCATAATAGAAAATCTCTCTCTACTTTTGTCAATCTGGCAGTGAATTAATAAATGGAGAAGCTGAACAGAGTTCATGGAAGAGGGAACTTCCTAATAGGTTTATATTCACTCTCACAGAGATATTATAGAATACATTTACTCCAATCATTTTGCTTTGGAGTGTTTCCAGATATTTTAGTCTGTTCTGTTCTAGTGGGAATGGTTAGAATTTTGATGTAAGGAGATGCAAGAAAGTGGAAGAATTACTTATGGATGGCAGTTTAAACAGAAAAGACAAATTTGAGGATTACTTTACATTCTGTTTCTTTCTGTTCGCTCTTTTATCTTCCTTTCTTTATTGAACTGGAATTTGAGAACCACTGTTCATCAAGTATATTTTTTAAAAGATGACATAATCTCTTATTAGACAGCAGCAATTACTAGGAAGTAAAACAAATTGAGAAGTTGTTGTAAATGGATATTTATTAAAGAGGATTTCATTGTGACAAGGGTCACAAACTATTATTACTAGAAAATCTCTTAGGTCTTGAACATATTTTTGGTGTTTATTTTATGATGTTATTTATTTATCCCCAATAATATATATCCAAGAAGTATGAAATAGAAAAATAGCATTAATAACAATTTAATTCAATACACATAGATTATCTTCTAGCTAGGTATGACATGTCAATGAATAAAAACTTGTTTACATGATAAATTGAGGAGAGAGATGGAGGAGAGAGAGGGGAAAAAAAGGAAGAGAGAGCGAGAAAAAATTAACAATGATTAATATTGAAACCAACCTAAGAGTATAACAATGCATAGTAGAATTGCAATCAACGCCCCAGTGCTAAGTCCTACAGGTAGAAAAATTGCTTCCACATTACAAGACAGGATGGTGCCATCAGAGTCACATCTACAGACTCGAATAGTCATTGTGTTTGTGCTGCTCTGGACAGGGTAGCTGCTGTCTTCTATTACAACAGGGAGGAAATACAACTCTTGCTGCCTGCGGCTGTATCCATTTCTTCGGGTTTCAATCCCCGCTGTGTTGTCTACAAAACATGACATTTATGGTAACATGGTTACTATAAGCTTCACTTCAAATCTTCAAGTTGGTATCTGCTCAATAGTAAGAAGCTCTTCTTGAATCAGGAAAATGGATTCTTATTTTTTTTATTTCTGTTCACATTATGAAAACTGCCAAAATATAATCAAAATAATCCTTAGAGGAAAAACAAACATTAATCTTGTCTGATAGAAGAATTAAATTTTCTATTCAGAAAGATTATGGAATGCTTTACAAGACAGAAAGTGTGTTAAATTGATCAATTTTTTTATGACATTGCAATCTCATTAAAAAATAGTTTTGTAAATAGTTTCATGCATAATAGAAAATATTACAAACTATGAATCTGTAAATTATCTCAAATAAGAACCTATTCTTTAAACTATATTAAAACCAATTGACTATTTTAAATTAAGGATTTTTCTATCTACATGTTGTATATGTATATATGTTTATAAATATATGTTATATATGTTTGTATGTATGGGAATACTTTCACCTCTGCATATCAGCTGGAATAAGAAACATGGAAAGGAAAATAAGATTTGTTAAAAACATTAAAAATTGTAAACACCTTGAACTATAACAATGACTACTTTAATATGATTTAAAAAGTAACTCATTGTAATTCTGGTTAATTCAAAAACAATAATGTTTACTTGCAATAATGTGAGACAATAAAAATTACTATTTTTATATAAATGCAATTAATACTTCTATTGAAAGTGCTCTTTTGCATGCATTTGCTCTTTTATTTCTACACAAATAAGCAGAAATTTTGTTTTATGAATAACAATATTTCATTTGTGTGTCACAGTAACCCCTAGAAACGCTTTGTTATTTTTAGAAATGTGACAATATGTAGTTTATTATAGCTATGCATAACACTTGAGAATAAGGTGAGATAATTTTTAAAAGTGTATAATATATTACAGTTGTGCAGGTCTGTCACAAATATGTTACTATTTCAATCAGATTCCATTTTTCTATTGGCAGACTTTAAATTCAACCACTGAAATTGAGGCAGGTTCTTCAGCAATAGGAAGCACCAAGACGAGAAAACTTTATGGGATATGATTAGGGATGAACAAATGGATATTAATTGAATCAACATTTAAATCTTCAGCAATTGATGGTTGAACACTTGAGTCCGCGGAAAAGGAACAGGCTAGGAATAAAGTTCATAATCTGAGTGAAAATGACTAATAGAAATAGAATGTCTGGTGTGTCTGCACTTGGGAGAAGGTAGGGATTTGGTATTCTTGAACTCAATGTATGTGTCAAATGGCAGCCTAACCCTTTTTAAAATGTTTATTTTCAATTTATTTATTTATTTTGAGATGGAGTTTCACTCTGTCGCCCAGGCTGGAGTACAGTGGATCAATCTCGGCTCACTGCAACCTCCGCCTCCTGGGTTCAAGCGATTCTCCTGCCTCACCCTCCTAAGTAGCTGGGACTACAGGTGCCTGCCACCACGCCCAGCGAATTTTTGTATTTTTAGGAGAGATGGGGTTTCACCATGTTGGCCAGGCTGGTCTCGAACTTCTGACCTCAGGTGATCTGTCCACCTTGGCCTCCCAAAGTGAGCCACCGCACCCAGCCCAATTTATTATTTATTGAAAATTGACCATAACAAATTTATTGTGATGTCCATAGTGAGAAGAAAAAGACATACTATATTTTATTTCCTCTCTAAATGCTTTCTTTTCACTAAAAATACCTTACAAATCTAATTCATTATAAAACAAGGAACATGGTAAATGGCACCTGAAATTTTGTGACAAGTACATGTCTAGTCCATGAGAAAGCACTCTGCTATAAGTCAGTATCATGTGGTTCCCATTAACATGATTAATCTGAAATAGCTCTTTCAGCAAAGATACGTTGTGGAAAATAGTCAACACTTGGGTTTGGTGAATGATGTGACTATCTACCTAGTTGCTGAAGCCTAAGACCTGGAAATCTATTTTGTCTTATTACATGATATACACATATTGAATCTAGGGCATCTATCATGAAGTCTTATCAATTCTATTTCCATCCATTTGTCTCCATCTTCACAGTCAGTACCCTAATCTAAGGCTCTCACCCATTTACTGCAATGACATCTGAACTAGTTTTATCTCCCTATGATATATTTTCCATGCTACATCCAAGCAGATTTCCCTATAATGTAAATATGAATATGTTATATTCTTGCTTAAACCTTTCAAAGACTACTAACATTATTGGTTTAAGTTATCTCCTGAAATGGCTTCTGGATAGGGTCCTCATATGGTCCAGTTTGTCTTAGACAGACCTATTTTATGTGTGCTGCTGTGACATAACATTATAAATATTTCCCCCTTTTTTATAAGTGTTTCAGTCTTTATGATAAAATATGTGGTCACTCTCATTATAAATAACTTCAAGATTGGACTGCTGTTTGTCTTATGGCCATTTCTCACATTGCATATTTTATTCAAACTCTACTCAACTTGCTTCAGTGATAAAATGTGGAGACTCTGATTTTGTGGAGACTCTGACTTTCTTTGCCTAATCATTGTAGCAAACTAATCTCTTCAAAATATCCTCTGATTCTATCATCATCATCACCATCTCAATACAATTTGTTCACTTGTTCTATATGCATAGAATTTATAAAAATTTATCTTTTTATTATCAGGTTATAAAATCAGGTGTTTTGATGATTATTTTAGAGAATATGGAAACTTAGAGGACATAAAATACCCAAGGTTACAGACCTAATAAAGTCAGAGATACTGATTGATACTCAACCTTAATATTTCTAATCCAGTGTCCTTTATATTTTTGTAATGGTTGTAATTGTAGCAAATGTAGTAGCGTTAGCAGTAGTAGCAGCAGTAGGATTGATGGCAATAGCAGTGGTAGTAGAAGAATAAGTGTACACCATGCAATAGTTCACAGCCATAAAAAAGAATGAAATCATGTTCTGTGCAGCAACATGGATGCATCTGGAAGACATTATCCTAAGCAAATTGATACAGAAGCAGAAAACGAAACACCATATACTCTTACTTATAAAAGGGAGCTAAACTTTGGGAACACAGAACACAAAGATGGCAACAACTAACACTGGGCATGCCAAAAACGGGGAGAAAGGGAGGAGACAAAGGGTTAAAAAAACTGCTTATCAGGTACTAGGTTCACTACTTCAGCAATGGGATCATAGAAGCCCAAACCTCAGCATCATGAAATATACCCATGTAACAAAGTGCTAGGATTCAGTGCTGCACCTGAATCTAAAATTTTAAAAAGTAAAATTAAATTAAAAAAAGTTGTATTCCATATCATGTTAAATAATAGATATAGTCCACATTTAAAGTATAATGTTTCTATTCTTTGCAGGTAGAATTTTTTATCTGTAATTGTTAAGTGGCTTTTTTTTTAATGATTAGAGTTTCATTTACAGTAATGTGTAAAGACAAATTTTACACAAATTTATTTTTAAAGAGTTTCATTCTTTCCTTCCTCTTCATTAGTCTTTAAGTAGCAAATTCTCATTATAAACTATGCAAACCATGTCTCTCCCTCCCTCTAAATAAATAAATAAATAAAAGTATAAGTGTAAACCATGATGGCATTGGTGGTGGCTAAAATGATCTTGATGGTAACATGTTTTAGGCATTTTGTTAAGGCTTTGCAAATATGATTTTATTTAATAAAAAATATTATGAGGTTGACTTGATTTAGTAAAATTGTATACATTAAGAATCTGTCATTTTGGTAGTATGGAACAAAAATGCAAACCTATGTCATGTCAAATATAATACCTGCATTCTTTAAATTTATTTATTATTTATTTATTTTTTAACGTTTATTTTAGATTTGAGGGTAACGTGAAGGTGTGTTACATAGGTAAACACGTGTCATGGGGGTTTGTTGTATGTATTATTTCATCACCCAGGTCTTAAGCCCAATACCCAATAGTTATCTTTTCTGCTCCTTTCCCTCCTCCCATCCTCACCCCTCAAGTAGACTCCAAGGCTTGTTGTTTCCTTGTTTGAGTTCCTAAGTTCTTATCATTGAGCTCCCACTTATAAGTGAGAACATGCAGTATTTGATCTTCTGTTCCTGTGTTAGTTTGCTAAAGATAATAGCCTCCAGCTCCATCCATGTTCCTACAAAAGACATGATCTCATTCTTTCTTACGGCTGCATAGCATTCCATGGTGTATATATATGTACCACATTTTCTTCATCCAGTCTGTCACTGATGGGCATTTAGGTCGATTCTGTCTTTGCTATTGTGAATAGTGCTGCAATGAACATTTGTGTGCACGTGTCTTTATAATACCTGCATTCTTAACCTGTGCTGTACGGTGTGTTATTCTAATAAAACAGTTACTAAAGAGCTCCCTGTTAGTTAGTATAAGTAATGTATATTTGGGACAAATGATATGTTTAAAACAGGGAAAGCATTCAATTTCTCAGAGAGTCTTTTATTTGCTTGACTCATTGAGAGACTGTCCACATTTACAATGCAAGCAACCTGCCTTACTAGACAGTCTGTATAGATTAAATATTTAATTTACTACTAGGTACAGAATATTGCCTTTCTCATGTAAGGATCTCATATTTTATGAAATTAAGTGCTTCAAAGAAAAGTATTGATTCCTCCCTTTGTGCCTTTTTACAAAGATACATGATAAGAGGTAAATTTTTCTGTAGTTACACTTACTTCTGAAGTCACGAACTGTAAAATTTGGTTTGATAGCAGCCTCAGGTGATAATCTAAAGGAGAATTGTTGCCCAGCAGGTGAAAGATCTCGGTCTGCAGCACTGACTATCTGAATTATCTGCAACAGAGTTGAGATTAAAGTCGGTCATCAGTTTCAAAGAGGACTTTACACAGCAGGCTACTAAATGTATTTAATGAAGCATGCAAGTAGACAGAAATGGCACTTTTTGAATCAATACCAGTAGGTCAATTATTTACACATAATGTTTATAAACAAATTTCTAACATTTACAGGGAATAACGACAGGTACAATTATAGAACATGGGCTAATTTCAAATTGATACCTGCGTAACTAAAAAGGTAACCAGCATTAAAAATTCACACTAATAAGCAAAGTAAAATTAAAATGTACTTGCTTGCATTTTAAATTAGATGAAATAAATGCTTTCTAGCCTGAATGTGAAAATGCTTACTGAAAACAAAATCTCTGATTATCTAAAAGCCCTTGTGATAGCAAAATTTAGTATGAGTTATGTTTTGTAACAATGGCTCTATTTTCATAAATAAATAAAATGATAAATAGAGATACAAAAGCTGTATATCTGCTTTTGTTATGTTTTTCTTCATTCGGTAGGAATACAAATTGTGTTTTCAAAGAGTTTTTAATAAGCACTATCATTCCTGTTACAAAATTTTTCCTAAATTGCTTCCATACGTTGTGTATCTTACAGTTAAAAGCCTGGTACTTCAATAAAATGCCCTTAAATACTTGGAGAATAAAAATAACTTCTGAGAATCAACCTGTGAAATTTACAATCCATTAAATAGATAAGCAAGTAAGAATGGCTTTGAGGCATTTATTTATTAACATATCCAATGGCTGTGCATCAGACAGAATTTCAGGAAGTGTTATGTGAGAGATGACAAGGGCAGAGTGTTGGCCAGATAATCATGCTCTCAGACTACATTTGAATCTGCAAGAGGAAGGCTCTAGATTTCACACACGGATATCCTGGTCCCAGTGTGTAAAGCATGCATCATGTGATCTTACACTGATGCTATTAAACGTGAGATTCAGTTAAAACCCAATCTATGACTATGATCTATGTTCCTGTTTATCTGCACACACAGAGACACAGATAGATGTTAGATATGTAGGTAGGTAGATGGATGGATGGATAGATATAGATAGATAGATAGATAGATAGATAGATAGATAGATAGATGATAGATATCACTGGGACCTTGGATATCCAGTGCAGCATTAGTAATTTCTAATTTAACAAATTAATTGGTCCTCTCGTATGAATTTTGATTTCTTGTCTTAGTGTGAATTAGTCACACAGACTCTATTTAAGCTTTAAAATTGTCCTGGAGAGAATTTCATTATTCAGCACCAAAGCCTAAATCATGGAATGTGGCAACTTAGTCAATGAATCAACATACAGACCCTATGAAACCAACTTTCCTTCACTTAGACCAATGTCTGCAGATCACTCAATTTCATTGAGAAAATCTCTGTATCTTATCCGGGGACTAATACCTGGCTGTTAAATTTTGCTTTGTTATCCTTCTGTTATAAACTAGCAACATTACTAAATTAAATGTATAACATCAAAATCTATCAAGAACATAACTAGAATAAAGAAAAGTCCTTTAGAATAGCATATAGATATAAAGACTTTGTTATAGACTGGCACTTATCTGGAAGTGTTGCTTGGAAGTCCCTGCCCTGAGGAAAACAACTACCATCTAAATTTGTACTGATTTACATAGCATAATCTTTCCTCCTTTTCTTATTTTTTTCAGAATAAATAGATGAAATGTAGATGATAGATAGGTAGATAATAGATAGTAGCATAATCCAGGAGAGACAGTTCGTATGCATAGTTCTTAGACTAGGGGCAGAATGGCAGGGCTCAAAAACAGAACATATATACATTTCTCATATATTACAATATATTACAATTAATTTCTCATATATTACATCCCTGAAAACTCAATGGACATTTCAGGGTTATGCTTTGTAGAAAAGTGTGGCTCAATTGGACACAAAAACCCCATAAATATATTTTAGAATAAGAGCCTCTAAGAATCCAAGATATTCCTCAAAAGTTTATTCAGATATGAAAAAATAACATTGATTTCAACTAATTTCCTTTTCTCAACTCATCAAATCCTTTAATTTATTGGACAAACATAAAACATTAAATGGAGCTCTATTCCCAAAGGCTTCCATTTGGAGCATTACAAATGAAATTCTAATTGATCTGAAATCACTAATATCCTTAACCACCTAAAAGCTAAAGAACTGGCTTTTTTTTTTTTTTTTTGTCTTTGTTTAGTGAGGCATCCTGAAAGTGGAAAATAGCTAACTTGAGGAATTTTGGTAAACCTCTTCAAACTCCCAAAACAACCAAATCAGGTTATTTATTCAGGCCCAAATATTTTTGTAGCACCTAGGATTTCAGAAACTAAAGAAAGCTGCAGGCTCATCCCATATAAATCGTGGATGCACTTAAGGTGATAAATTTTAAGTGCATTCTGTGCCGATCCAAAATTAACGATGCAGATTTCTTGAGAAAATATCACAAAATAAGTTGTGATGTCAGAAGATTAATGAGTCCCCACATTATCAAATGGAAGAGTAGAGCAGCACAGTCCACTAGAAATGTCCATGGTTATGAAAATACTCTATGTCTGCAGTCACCAAAATTATATCTGCTCACCACAAATTGAGCACTTGAAATGTGATTAGTATGAATGAGAATATAGTTTTTAGTTTCACGTAATTTTAATTTTATTTTAATAGCTATACAACTAGTAGACATCACAGGTTTAGAACTATGGGACAAAGGTTCTACTAAGTGATGTAAAGCATGGAAATTGAAAAAGATACTAAAGATTAAATAACGACTTTTTTCAACAAAAATACTGTTTTAAATATCAAGACTTATTTCAAGTAAGAAATAAAACTTCGAATTTACTTAAGTGAATAGTTACGCTATTTAAAGGTGATCAAAAACTAGAGCAAACCAAAGCATACCAATGCATTTTGTATTTGGAATGCAGATCCACAATATTAGATTAAACATATTTTTGTTTCATGACATAATCTTTTCATATATCCATGCCTGATTCCTTTTATATTATTCCTAAATTCATTCATAAGACTTTAGGAGGAAAAAAATAAGAAAAAATGGCAACCTACCACCACCTAACATAAAACCTTTCACAATCAGTTTCATTAACTTTGTGGTCTTCTTTCCTCATAACATCTTCCCACAACTACATCTTCACAGAATAATATTAACTTCATAAGAAAAATGAAAGTCAGACATTTAAAATAACCCAGATGTTCTCCTCAAGGCCACCAGAGAGGGAAGCTTTGCATTTTCAAGTTAGATTAAAAGATTTGTTGTGCAACTAATACAAGCAAATGAGCAAAATAAGAAATATACTGGGAAAATGCACTCTAAAGTGGCTTGCTTACTGGGTTTACAGTCACAGGTTCTTTAGAAATTTGTGTGTGGGGGCTGGGTGCGGTGGCTCATGCCTGTAATCCCAGCACTTTGGGAGGCCGAGGCAGGCGGATCACGAGGTCAGGAGATTGAGACCATCCTGGCTAACATGGTGAAACCCCGTCTCTACCAAAAATACAAAAAATTAGCTGGGCGTGGTTGCGCGCGCCTATAGTCCCAGCTACTCGGGAGGCTGAGGCACAAAAATCGCTTGAATCCGGGAAGCGGAGGTTGCAGTGAGCAGAGATCAGGCCACTGCACTCCAGCCTGGGTGACAGAGCGAGACTCTGTCTCAAAATAAATAAATAAATACAAATTAAAAAAAAGAAAGAAATTTGCAGGTGTGTCACTTGAGGTCAGGAGTTCGAGTCCAGCCTGGCTAACATGGAGACACCCCATCTCTATTAAAAATACAAAAAATTAGCTGGGCATGGTGGCGCATGCCTATAATCCCAGCTACTTGGGAGGCTGAGACAGGATAATCACTTGAACACAGGAGGCAGAGGTTGCAGTGAGCCAAGAATGTGCCATTACACTCCAGCCTGGGTGACAGAGCAAGACTTCATATCAAGAAAAAAAAAAAAAAAAAGAAAAGAAAAGGAAAGAAATTCAACAGTAGGAGAATAGAAAAACATAGCAGAAACCACAAGTGTAGACCTTTAATTATACAAAGAACTTTCACTAAGCAATCAGTACTTCATCTGTGCGGTATCACCTCCACATACATTCATCTATATCATTAATTCACAAGAGTTTAATTAATCTTTTATGGTTTCTTTTATGAAAGCTCTGATTCAGAAAAACAAATATATGTGTGCATATTCATGTCTGGACTTATAACTTAAAACATGCATATGGTGGGTCTTTATACACTCAAGGAACAATATTTATAAGATACCTGTCCTGGCTTGGCATTTTCACACACGGCTGTCTCATATGGCACAGATATTTCTGGAGGAAATTCATTTACATCTAAGACATTAATCAGTATATTGACTTTGCTGGTCAATAAAGGGTTACCTGTTAAAAACATATAAAGATAAAAGATGATTACAAAATCCGGTCAGTTATTGCTTCTACAATAAATAGTATTTACATTTTTAAAAATCAGCCTTTATATAGAATGAAAAAAAATCCTTCTTATAGGAAATCCTGGGGGTTCCAACTACAAGATGATAAAGGATCCTTTTTATCTTTAGAATTCAATACCAAAGTAAGGCCAACTATTTAATTGATATTTTAGCATAAGTGTAGCCCTTTCTAAAAGAATGACTTAGCCATCATACCAGGGTTAGTTCACAGAACCAATCCTTACCAACAGTGATATTTTTCCCCAGATGAAAAATTGTCTATGTTGTACCCACATAATGAAAACGTTATTGGTTGGATGATCTACATATTTAAATGACTCACTCAAAATGATTCCTCCTAGGAGATTCCTCCTGAAAAGAAGAACTATAACAAAAAAAAAAAAAAAGGGGAAAGAAGGCTCTTTATAAATGAAAAGTATTAAAATAAACTTAAGGAAGTAGAACTAAGAGATGGATTATGGAAAGCTAGTATACTTCCTTAAATTACTTGCTGGTGATAAAAAAGGAAGTAATAAACTTCTATGCAATAACTTACTTCTTCCTACTTCCTAGTATCAGAAAGACTGTCAGTTTGACAAGATGCTTCTGCCAAAATTCCATCACAGGTTTTGGTCCCACCTATGGATTATTATCTGGATCTCTGTCATTTACGGAATAAAACTAGAAAATAATTAAATCAATAAAGCATAAAATAATGCACCTGTTTGAACTTGTGCAATATATAATTTTACCTTATGAAGTGTTGCAGATGGATGAACTGTTTTGCTGAAAAGACCTCTTGCTCAGAGGCAGAAAGCTAAATGAATGGGGAGTTTAGATCCAAACCCAGGATTATAAAAATCTAAAGACCATGTTTATTCCATCATACCTTCTCCATTGATTGGTTTATGAGTTAAATTCTTCTGCAAAGCCACCAAAGACTTATAATATTCTTTTAGACATCTATCTAGAATACTTCAAAGAATGCATACAAAATCATTCCACACGACTGATTTTGAAAGGTATACAATATCTTGCTTAGTTAAAATTCATTTAAAAAATACATAACAAGCGTTTGACACAATAGCTTTAACAGCATTCTGATATTCACATATGACAGTGAAATCCATTATTTGTACCAATACCTACACAGATAACATAAATTGCGTATAAATAGTATGTTCTTATAATACCAGGCGTGCTTATAAAAGGTAGATTAATAATCTTGGAGAATTATTCAGAAAGTACATATTATTTAAAAATTGATATTGGTCACAAGCCACTATCTTATTTAATAGAAACTGTTTGGCCCGGTTTTCACAAGTTGTTTCATCTTTCTTCAACTCAGTTTCCTTGTATGAAATACATGGTTTTCATAGGCCCTGCTTCATAGTGCTGTTGCATTAAATGAGATGGTATTTTACAAGGTGTTTGATAAATTTTGGTAAATATCATTACTCATTACCATTTATACTTTGTGGAGGTGATCAAGATCTGTTTCTGTTATTGCTATCCATTATTTACACAGTATAAAATATAAATAAAAGTTAACAAGTTGGTTAAACTAACTTTACTTTTCTAAAGAAATTGGAAATTACAAACAACAGCAATGCCTAATGCCTAATACTTTAGAATGCTTGCAATGTACAAATATTCAAAGCCACATTACAAACATGAACTAATTTAGACTTTACAGCAACTATGATATAGGCATTATTTTTATCTCCTTTGTGTAGGTGAAACTCTGAAGAGACAGGGATGTAATTTCTCAAATGTCATAAGTCAAAAGTGGTAAGGCTAGGTTTTGATTCCAGCTGTTCTGATTCCACAGCTCATGCTCTTAAAATCTATTATATATTGAGCTTTAGATGAAAAAATAAACCACTTTGACAATTATATAGGTACTTACAAAAAGACAACTAATTCATTTTATAAAGTTTAGTAAATGAATGTGAATAACTTAAACTACTCAACATCTGGGTAATGTAAAACTCAGTTTCTATTTTTTATTTTACATAGTATATAATGTATGAGTCCTGCAGCTACATGAAAATGAGAATGTCTTTTTTACTTTATTTCAGTATTACAGTTTTGTTTTATTAAGTTGGTGTGACAATGGTATATCTTCCACAGGGGACAGGAGTTTTCCTAGAGATTTATTTTATAATATAAGAAAAAGTTATTAAAATGAATTTAGGCCTGGTTTATCTATCAGAAATTAATTCTCTTCTGCTAGTTGTAAATTATTTTCTAACCTACAAAATAGATTCTAATATCTGTTATGAGTAAATTGTCCCAAACTTATTCTTAATATTGTAATTTTTTTATTAACAGTGTTTCCCCAAAAGTACTATTGGCATTTTAGCTATGACAATGTTTTGTTGTGTGAAACTTCCCTGATCACTAGATATCCTACAGATATTTAGAAATATCTAATTTAGAAATATCTAAATTTCCTGAAGATTAAATGTCACAAGGCATCATTGTGGCAATACAAAATAAGTGTTCAAATAGAGAGAAAATAACAAAAAAGATGTTTACATTGTTGAAAATGAGTAACAAGTTTATCTGTTTAATAATATTACTCTCTCTTCTATCATGTATTTTCAAAACTTTCCATAATTAAACATTAAGAACGTCACCTAATATTTTTAAGTGGCCATTTAAGAAGCAACAACATCTCAGTTTGAGAACTATTGTACTCAAATATGAATTGAAATTTTCACAAGAATGAATAATGCATAGGAGTAATACAGCATACTTTAATTTATATAGAGATATATTGTACTAAATTATTTTGAAAAGTAATGACCTATTTTCTTACTGACTCATCTAATGAATATTTGGGGCAGCAACGATGAAATTCATTTAACCTTGATTCAGCATGAGTATTATTATACAATTATTTGAAAATAACACCATATGGAAATTAGTTACTGTTGAATACTTATGAAGGAAATTTAATTATGAACCTAGTAAACATTAAATAATCAAAGTCTTACACAATTAAGTGTTAAGTTCCCAATAGTGAAACCATTTAAATTCCAATTATTACTGTTCCACATTGCCTATATTTAATAGCTAGTTACTAATTTGAGGCTCATATCAGATAACAAATAAATAATTCTATGTTTGTCCCTTATACCTTCACAATGCTTTGTTAGATCTTCCTCTCTCTATCTTTCAATAATATCGGAGTCAGATCCTATAGCATTTTGAGTCTATTTGATTTAGAACCTATTTCATTAATATTTTAATGTACAGCTAAACTAAGAGAAAAAAAGGAAAATAATAAATTACCTAAATCTGAAATGAATTAACTACTTCTCATTATAAATGAAATAGAAAATGATAAAGGAATCTTTTAAATTGCTTTATGCAAGAACATAGTTAACAGGTGAAATTGACAAATTCCAACAAAATGCAAATTACCAAAACTGACTCAAGAATAAACAGAAAATCTTAACATAGTTAAAACAGTTAAGAAATGAACTTGTAATGAAAAATCTCCTCATCAAGTAAAGCCCACACCCAGGTGGCTTCATGAGGAATTCTATCAAATATTTAAGGAACAAATAATATCATTTTCTTACAGTCTCTTTCAGAAATAGAGGAGGAAGCACTTACCGCTGAATCCTATGTGCCTTGATACGAAAACCAATTAAAAAATCACAAAAGCCAAAATCACTGACTATTGTTTCTTATAAACATAAATACAAACACTCCTTAACAAAATATTAACGAATTAATTCCAGCAGCAAGTTATACAGATAATATATTATGATGAATGGGTGTTTATCCTGGGGACACGAGGTTGATTTAACATCCAAGAACAATCTCCATATTAATACAAGGAAGAACAAAATGTTACAAGGCTATCTCAATAGGCTTGGAATTTGCATTTGACAAAACCCTAGTCCATTCGTGATAAAAACTCTCAAGAAACAATAAATAAAAGGCAGCTTCCTCAACCTGATAAAGTATGTCTGTGAGAAACTAATATCACGGTAAAAGACTTTTTTATTCTAACACTGTGCACAGAATAAGAATATGTGCTCTTGAAATATATATATATCTTCAACATTGTCCTTGAGAATTTTATGCATTGAAATCAGACCCAAATATAAATTTTTAAATGGTATCCAGATGGAAAGAAAGAAATAAAATGATTATTGCTTAAAGATGACATGAACCTGTAGATGGAAAATGCTAAGGAATCTGCAAATAAACTTAGAGATATAATAAAGGAATACATCAAGTTCATGGGATAGGAGATAAATGTAAAATGACAATTGTACACTTAATATACTAGCAACGTCTAAATTTGTTAGTATATTAATTACCCTTCTATACTCAAAGGAAAGGAGGATAGATCTCACTTCTTGACCAAAGAAATGTCAGCTTAATTGTCAGAAGAACATGTCATATAGGATAGATTTTTAGGTGTGACATAATTAGAATCTGTAATCAGAAATCTCTTTTAGAAATGGGTTCACTGGGAACTACCATTGCAACTTTTGATAAACCCTGGAAAACCTGAATTTTAAATATAAAAGAGAATTTAGGCATTATATAAACTTATAGTTCTCATGCTATTCTTCGTAGTGCTACGTGGTTTCGTTAGGACTAAAGATAAGCTGTTGGCATCAACCACCATTTTCTTGATGTAATCTATTGAGATTCCACATAAGATTTTATTTGACAAAGTGTCCTGATCATCTACAAAGTTTGAAAACTATAGATGCATAGACATCTATTTATAGATGGAAAACATTGATATAATCTTTCCTATGATTTCTATTGGAGTCAAGACAGGAATCCAGATCTTCTCACAGTTTCTCAACGCTCTATGATAGCTATTAACTAACTCAGAGAGCAAGAAGATGGAATGCCTGAAATCTACCAACATATGTGATGATCAAGTATCCTCACTGAGTCACATTCAGAACTCATCTAGCCACCAGGCTATGAGGAAGCCCACTTTACATTCAAAGGACAAGGCAGAGCTTCTTAAAATTGTACCTCGTAGATGTGTTTCCAAGAACCAAATGAGAAGTGTAATTGAACATGTTTTGAAAATGGTAAAGTACTAATGAACACAAGGTTCTTGTTAGATTAAAATACACTGGAGTTATTTTGTTTCTTTATTGAAAAATAACATCTCTTTGGAATAACTATAAGAGTTAAAATTCGGCCAGGCATGGTGGCTCACGCCTGTAATCTCAGCAATTTGGGAGGCCAAGGCAAGTGGATCACCTGAGGTCAGGAGTTTGAGACCAGTCTGGCCAACATGGTGAAACCCCATCTCTACTAGAAATACAAAAAGTAGCTGGGCATGGTGGTGGGCGCCTGTAATCCCCACTACTCGGGAGGCAGGAGAATCTCTTGAACCCGAGAGGTGGAGGTAACAGTGAGCTGAGATTGTGCCATTGCACTCCAGCTTGGGTGACAAGAGCAAAAGTCCATCTCAAAAAAAAAAAAAAAAGTTAAAATTCGGTATTGTGATTTCTCAAAGAACTTACAACAGAATTACTCTTCGACCCAGCAATCCCGTTATTGGGTGCATAGCCAATAGAATATAAATTGTTGTACCATAAGGACACATGCACATGTATGTTCATTGCAGCACTATTCACAATAGCAAAGACACAGAATAAACCCAAATGTCCATCAATGGTAGACTGGATTTTTAAAATGTGGCACATATACATAATGGAATACTATGGGGCCATAAGAAAGAATAAGATCATGACCTTTGCGGAAACCTGGGTGGAGCTGGAGGCCATTATCCTAAGCAAACTAACCTAAGAACAGACAACCCAATGCCACATGTTCTCAATTGTAAGTGGGAACTAAACTTTGAGTACATATGAACACAAAGAAGGGATAATAGACATCAGGGCCTACTTGAGGACAGAGAGTGGGAGGAGGGTGAAGATCAAAAAACTATTACCTAGTGACAAAATAATCTGTATGTCAAACTCCCATGATATGCAACTTACATACATAACAAATCTGCACATGTACCCTTGAACCTAAAATGAAAGTTTTTTTTTTTTAAAGTTAAAATTCAATTGTGTGACTGTGTTCTAAATTACAACTACAATAACTTCTAGAATGGAATCTTAGCCTTTTATGCCATGAAACTGAATTATACTAGTGCAAACTCAGTAAGATATAATAAATGAATGATATAGGTTGACACAGGCTTTCTTTGACTTTTCTCTTTAGTTCAGTTATGTTTAAATGGCACATTAAATTATATCATGTCTAATATAATCTGTAGCTAGTCTGGGGAATCCATAAAGATAATTTCTTCACCAATATACTTCTGTGATTCCATAAAGGTGGATTCAAAGATTTTCTGATGGGCAATTGGTTGAGAGTGTTAAGTTATTATTTAAGGACCTGGAATCAATAAAAAGGAGTGTCTGGGTTAAGATTAGGGGTTGTGGAGACCAAGGCTCTTATTATATAGATGAAGCCTCTAGGTAGAAGGCTTCAGAGAGAATAGATGCTAAATGTCTCTTATCAGACCCAAAAAGGTACTAGATTCTTAGTTACATCTCTCCAGGATCAGGAAAAGACCTGAAAAAGAAAGAAAACGATGTACAGAATGTAAATTTTCCCCCATGAGAAATAGCATTGCAGGCCCATTTCAAAATATGTCAAATAAATATATTTTGGAGTAAATTACTTTGATTCCTTTTAGGGCCTAGCTATCTGTCGTGTCATGTGATGTCACTAGAGTCAGGATGAAATTTGGTATCTTATTGCTACAAAGAGTCTGTTTTGTCATTCGTAAGATCTTTGTTTCAATGTTATTGCTGATCAGTTGTGCCTGATTTCCAAAAGGAACAGAGTATTGTGAGACATGTTCGACTCCCCTTCCCATCATCATAGCCTGAGCTAAGTTTTTCAGATTTACTTTGGAATCCTCTTGGTTGAGAGGAGAGGTCCATTCAGTGAGTTGTTGGGCTTAGAATTTTATTTTTGGTTTACACTGTAACCAACATAAATTTTCAAAAGTACCGGTAAGATCAAGTTCTGTCTTTGATTATATCTCCTCAATGTGTACCTCTTTGCTTCAGGATAAAAATCAAAATATCAGAACATGCTGAGAAAAAAAATCATATTTGTCATCTGGATTTTCTTCATTATTGGGAGGCAAAGGGGATAGTGAGAGACAGAGGCACAGAGACCACAGAGAGAGTTTTACCTTGTACTTATCCTTGGTTTCTTTTCTCTTTCCTATTCTGAAATCCTGCATATTTTTCGGAATATTTTATGCTTTATTCCATTTCTAGAGCTTGATGTATGCTATTTCTGCCAACGAAAATATCTTTTTACCTTCTTACTATTGATCCACCGACCTTGGCCTTCCAAAGTGCTGGGATTATAGGTGTGAGCCACCGTGCCTGGCCCAAATAGAATCTTTGATACTAAGAAGTTTATACTAAGAAGTATGAACTTGTAAGTATCATCATATACTATATCATATTGAATCTATTCCTATAGTAATTGATTCAATATGATATAGTATATGATGTCAACAAGATAACAATTCCATGTAAAAACATTTTCTAATTGTGAATTCTCTCTTGCATGTGATATTAAAAAGAATTTTATCTACATGTCTAAATATAATTTTTATCCAAATTTCAACCTTTAGGTGAAAAGTTCATCATGTAGTTTTAATTTCCTGTGATAATCAGATACTAATTAAGAAAAATATAAGCCTGGCATTATAGTTGTACATGTGATTTTGATGGAGCAATTAGATTGATTTAAAGTATTCTTAAGCAGTTTGATTACAGTAATGTACGCAAAAGCAGTTGAAAATTTAAGATAAAATACAGTCTATCACAATACAAATTTGGATTTCATTACATTTACATAGCATATAATAATGAGAAAAATGGTATTATTTCTAAATTACACTGATGATTATGGTGATGTTAATGATTATTATTTCCGATGTATATGATACATTACAGTGCTTTACGAAATGATGTGAAAACCTCATTAGTGATTCTTTCTTCGAAGTACTACTCTTCAAAGTTGTGATGGTTAATTTGAGTGTCAACTTGATTGGATTGAAGGATTCAAAATATTGTTCCTGGATGTGTCTATGAGGGTGTTGCCAAAGGAGATTAACATTTGAGTCAGTGAACTGAAAGAGGCAGACCCACCCTCAATTCAGGTGGGCCTCCATCTAATCAACTGCCAGTGGGGTTAGGATAAAAGAAGGCAGAAGAACGCGGAAGGACTGGACAAGCTGAATCTTCTGGCCTCCATCTTTCACCTGTGCTGGATCCTTCCTGCCCTCGAACATCAGACTCCAAGTTCTTCAGCTTATAAACTCTTGGACTTACACCAGCGATTTCCCTGGGGCTCTTGGGCCTTCAGCCACAGACTGAACGCTGCAACTATTGCCTTCCCTATTTTTGAGGTGTTGAGACTTGCACTGGCTTCCTGGCTCCTCATCTTGCAGATGGCCTGTTGTGGGACTTCACCTTGTGATCCTGTGAATCAATTATCTTAATAAACTCCCCTTCAGATATTCATCTACTAAGGAATTCATCTACTAAGGAATATTCACCCTTATTTTGTTAAGAACATGTTTGTACATGTATACAGTTGTACTAAGAAAATATCTTTATTTCCTTTTTTTCTTTATCATGTGACATAAGATTTATTGACTTCATATCAGCATTTAAATGTTGTTAACTTTATATAATAGCATTTAGGTTAATGATTAGTGTGCTTCTGGTTGTAAGAAGGATAACTGTACTATGTTAGGCATAATTATGACCTTATTATTGTCTTCATTTGGTGATTATGTATGATTTCAGGAGATGTGTGTGGGTTCAAGTTGACAAAGGGTAGACTTGTGATGGTTAATACTGAGTGTCAACTTGATTGGACTGAAGGATGCAAATCATTGTTCCTGGGTGTGTCCGTGAGGGTGTTGCCAAAGCAGATTAACATTTGAGTCAGTAGAATGGGAGAGGCAGACTCACCCTCAGTCTGGGTGGGCACCATCTAATCAGCTGCCAGCGTGGCTAGGACAAAAGCAGGCAGAGGAACGTGGAAGGAATAAGCTCACTGAGTCTTCCTGCCTTCATCATTCCCTTGTGCTGGATGGATATTTCCTTCCCTCAAACATCAGACCCCAAGTTCTTCAGGTTTTGGACTCTTGGACTTAGACCAGTGATTTACCAGGGACTCTCGGTCCTTCTGCCACAGGCTGAAGGTTGCACTATTGGCTTCCCTACTTTTGAGGTTTTGGGACTCCGACTGGCTTCCTGGCTCCTCACCTTGCAGATGGTCTATTGTGGGACCTCATCTTGTGATCATGTGAGTCATTTCCCCTAATAAACTCCTTTTCATACATTCATCTATCTTATTAGTTCTGTCCCTTTAAAGAACCCTAATATACAAGTACTAATAAAATATTGGCAATTCTAGTATAAGCCACACTTATCTTTCTTTGAGAATACAAAATAGTTTTATATAGTTACTTGGGAAAAAGAAAGGAAATTAGAACACAGTAAATAAACTACCTACACTCATGTAAAACAAGGCATTTACGAAAAATAAGAGGAAAGCAATAATTTGGGCAATTGAAAGAAGAAAGGATTGACATCAATTTGGAATTGAAACCAATGGTTATGTTTAGTCCTGAAAAGTCAACTACAGTCTTTGAGTAAGTACATATATTCATGGTAACTGATTCCACTCTTTTGTTTACTAAAATTTGAGAATGACACAGTGGGTCCCAAATCAGTGTTCCTTGGAGTTACTCAGGGAGCTTGTTTGAAATGGAGATTTCTTGGCAGTACTCCCAGAAAGTCTGATTCACCATGACTTGAAAGAGGTAGAAGAATCTTCCCTTTAGGAAATGTTCCAGGTGTCTCTGATGCAGGTGGCTGTGATTCACATTGAGGAAGGCCAGTAGAGAAGATAAAGGCCAAACCAAGGATGCCTATTCTCAAAGCGAATAGAACTATTAATACCTTTTTTGAAAACAAGTCTGGCCAAATTAAGGAGAATATTTCTGCCCAAACACCACAAAGAATCCACACCTCTTTGTCACTTTGTTTCTCGTAAGGTTAACTATATAGTCACCCAGGTGAATACACTGTAAGCCAATCAGTGCTTGTTCACAGAAATGCAGGCCTAGGAACAGATAGGAAAAGTTGGAGAAGTGAAATGCTTCTTTGGATCCATAGTAAGCTGGGGGCACACAGGTAGAGGAGATAGAATGAGAAGGAGGGCAGACTCTTAGTCGCACCTGAAAAACTGCAGATTCTCACAAGTCTTTTAAGGCTCTGTTGAATGAAGCCTCAGCCTCCTCTCTGAATGTCTACTCCTTGACAGCAACTATACCACACTGCTTGCAATATCTGACCTCAACATGACTTTTCATAGCTATGCCTTTGCTTAAAATGTTTCTTCAACCTAGAATGGCATCCTTCCTTCCATGATGATTTTCTTTTTTTTAATATTTTAAATCCTTAACTCATATGGAGCTTCCTATGTGACACTATGTTTAGGTCTTCAAAGTAATTTTTTTTAAAAAAATAATTACTTATTATATTCTTTCTGGGAGCACTCTGAATTTTGATTTTATATTTAATGTATTTAGCCAGATTGTTGCATTTCTCTTGACATTTTCAGTGCCTAGAGGCCAACAAATATGGTTTCTAATTTTTTCTCTTTTTTCAATTGACTTGTCTGATTGCCAAGAGCCCATATGGTAGGCAAGCTTCTATAATGGCTCCCAACGATCCCCACCTCCTGATATTCACACCCTCATGTAACTCTTTTCCTTTAAGTATGGTCTGAAGCTAGTGGCTTGCTTCCAATAAAGAGAATGTGGGAAAAGAGGAGATGTCATTTCTGACATTAAGTTATAAAAAGCTGACTTTCATCTTGCTGGCACTTTCTCTTTCTCTTGCTCATTTTGATCATGCCAGCTGCCATGTTACAAACTGCTCTATGGAGATGCTCCTGTGGCTGGAAACTGAGGGCAGCTTCGGATCAAACAGCAGTGTGGAATAGTTGCTCGTCCAACAGCCTACAAGCACACTGAATCTTGCTATCAACCACTGAGTCAACTTAATTGCAGTCTTACAAGAGAAACCTTAGAGAACAAAGATTCACCATAAATGGATTCCTAACTCTCCTAACTGTAAAATAATACATGTTGTTTAAACTACCAAATTTGTAACATAGCATAAGTAACTAATACCTCATACATAAAGAGTAGGTTTTTCTTCTAAGTTCCTGCACTCTTCCTCCCCAAGAATTGAAGACCTGTTCGTGAATAGCAGTGTAGTACCTGAGAACATCTTTCAAAGAAATGTTGCTGTCTTTCTACCCTTAAAATCTAAATATGATCCACTTCCGATTACCAGTATTATGCTCCACCTATTTTTAGGATATTTGTGACTTCATCTTCTATTTATGTGCCATCCTCCACCCCATTTATAATTAAGATTGCCTTATTCAAGGGCACCATATTGAGAGTGCCATATGCTGCCTGCATCATTGAACATATTTGCCAGAAAGTCTTATTCCTTCCCACACCCTGCCCTGATTTTGAAGGTCTACATTAGTTAATACGTCTTGTGTGTCTTAACTAATTCTCATCACTGAGTCACCCCAAGACAGGACCTGTGATGGCACCATTGAGCACAAGGTGAAAAACACATAGTTTGCATATCATAACTACCAAGTATGTTTTTGTTCATCAGTTCCCAACTGAGGTATTGAGAAATTATTGATAATGAGGCTGTATTTTTTCAATATTTCAAAAAGTCTGGTATATTAGATATTACATATCATTTCATTATAAGGTTAATGGACACATCATTTTGTAATTATATCAACTAAGTGTGCTATTATGTTGATCAAATTGTCACTCTGATTAATTAAACATAAAGTTATTTAATAAATATTGCTTAAATAAGAGTATGATGTCAGGTAGACAAACTCTTTCAATGTACAAGGGAAATTATCAAAAAAGATCCTTCACAATTAAGTTATTAGGAACTCTTACTGTAGCTTGAGATCCTGGTAATTCACATTTATTGAGCATAGATAGAAATCTACCTAACTATACCACTGTTATGTACATAATATCACACACATATTTTTCTATTCTGAGTCTCTGTTTTTTCTTTCTAAAATGCAAATTTCTATTGAATTTTGATATGTAAGCCCTCTAATAAGCTTAAATATAGATAGATAATAAATACGTATTTCACTTCAACTATATGTACATTGCAAATAAAAATATTTAGTCTTTTTTACTATGTTATTATTTATCTATGCAATGGAAATTACTTTGATAATTGTTACCACTAACATTTTTTTTTTTTTTGAGACAGAGTCTCACTCTGTCACCCAGGCTGGAGTGCAGTGGCATGACCTCGGCTCACTGCAACCTCCGCCTCCCGAGTAGCTGGGATTATAGGCGCCCGCCACAATATTCAGCTAATTTTTGTGTTTTTAGTAGAGACAAGATTTCACCATGTTGGCCAGGCTGGTCTTGACCTCCTGACCTCAAGTGATCCTCTTGCCTTGGCCTCCCAAAGTGCTGGGATTGCAGGCATGAGCCACCATGCCCAGCCTACCACTAACATTTTTAAGTTAACATTCTAACTGACAGATACAACTGTATGTATTTACCATGTACAATACACTGTTTTGAAGTATATATACATTGTAGAATGAGTAAATCTAGCTAATTAACATATGCACTACCTCACATAGTTATAATTTTTGTAGAAACATTTTATATCCACTGTCAGAATTTTTCAGGAATACAATATATTAACTATAGTCACCATGTTGTACAATAGATCTCTTGAATTAATTCCTCCTATCTAACTCAAATGTTTTCATTACTTGAGCAACATCTCCCAATCACAACCCCTAAAGTATTTAAAATAAATAAATGAAACATGGTGAATATGTTCCCTGTGAAATTGTTGTCAGTCTCATCCTCAGAATGTGTTCTGGAATGAGAGACTCCAGGGTGTTGGTCCGAGCCTGGTCATCATTAGCTGTGTGACACTGAGCTACAGACAAAATATCTCTGAAAGTCCATTCCTCATGCCCACAATGTGAACAAGAACACTCACTCTGCAGGTTCATTGAAAGGATCAGATGAGTTAATGCATAGAAAGCTATTAATATAGTTTATTACTTTATTATATTGTTAATGTTATTCTAGAAAAATTAGGTACTCACTTCTCATATGTTGTGATAATATCATTCCAGAGCTGACAATTTGGCATATAAGCCAAAAAAAAAAAAAAAAAAAAAAAAACTTCAGACGATTCTGCCGGAAAAATCTCTATTTTTTTTTTTTTTTGTTTAAATTCTTCATGACCATATTGTCATCAGTCCTAAATTTTTGCAACCACCCTCTGAAGTTTATATGACAGTTCACTTAAATCTAATTTCCCTGGAATTCAGCATAATTTGCACAGTTATTACTTACCAAAATTTACAAATCTGGTCAACTTATAACTACTACTAAATTGTAATGCCCTTAAGAATAGATATCATTCCTAATCAGTTTTCTCCTAACCCACAACAAATAATGTTTTGCTCATAGATAGTACTCTATACAGGTGATACCAAAAAATGCATGAATTTATGTTGAATCTGAATTATAGGTACCAATCTTGAAATTTGATTTTCTGTACATATAAGGATAATATTACTTCATGTGAAATTTTAAAAAGTTACAACATAAAATAGCTATATAGAAGATAACCTTAAAAATTAATTATCTAACAACTTTATCACAACTCATAATGATACAATTATATGTAAACTTTTTTCAATATAGCATTTAGTAAGGGAATTCACTGTTTTTTTTTAACTTATTCCACAATAAATGGGACCAATGCACTGCCATCTTGATAACTAATAGGACCAAGAAAAGCATTGTCTCTGGTATCACCTTTTTATTTTATAATCATATAAAATATATTCTAAGGATTTAGTGAAGTTATGTTTAGTTATATTTATTTATTTATTCACTTTCTTTTTCCTTTTGTTAATTTTGTTTTTCTTTTTTGAGACAGGTCTCAGTATGTTGCTCAGACTGGTCTTGAACTCCTGGCCTCAAGTGATCCTCCCACCTCAGCCTCTTGAGTAGCTGGGACTACAGTTGCAAGCCATCCTGTCTGGCTAGTTATCTTTAATTAATGACATTTGTTAAAGTAACACAAAAATCCTAGAAACATTTGCCTGTTGAAACTTTCTGATAATTTGAATGAAGTAAAGTTTGGAGTCTCTGTCTCATTGAAAATACTCAAGGTTAATATAATAAAAACAGCAAAGCAGTAATGCATAAAAGAATTATTAGAAGTCTAATAAAATTATTTGGACCTCCAACTATAGCAACACTGATTAATGACTGCTTTTTAATTAATTGAAAGTTGTTCAATCATCGTGCCATTTCATTTCACCTGAGAGTTTTTATAAAAGGGTCAGAGCCAAAACATATGCTAGTTCAATTTGCAATAAGGTATACTTAAGCAATTTCATTCTTCTTGGCAGGGCAAGTGTGGGCTATTCATTTCTCATTTATTCACGGTGATGATATTCCCTGTTCAGCTGGCTAGTGTGATCAAGGAAGACAGTCTTAGGCATTAGAATATGAATAAAGTTTACTTTTAAGCTGTGCATTCAAACAAAATAAAAACCTATGATTACCTACTCTTCTTATAGAATCTT
Organism: Homo sapiens; assembly: GCF_000001405.40. Lineage (NCBI taxonomy): Eukaryota > Metazoa > Chordata > Mammalia > Primates > Hominidae > Homo > Homo sapiens. The sequence goes on from NC_000005.10 coordinate 21,779,913, forward strand.
TAATTACCACTTGATAGTGTTTAGCCTCTTTATTTTTCATACAGATATACAGTCTTTGTCATACCCGATTTCCTTTATGGTTCTAATATCTTTACATTGGCCACTGAGTAGATAGTGGAATTAACCAGAAGTCCATTTTAGGAATATTAGTTTGGTATCACTCTTAGATTGTGCATATATTTTGTTAATTTGTCTAAGTCCCAGTTCTGCCTATGACCCAGTGAGGAGCAACATAACTTATTAGCCTCCATACCCTGTGGATTCCTGATTTTCATTTAGGTAAAAACTGTAGCCAGCAGCTGGTAGTGTGACAGAGCCCGCATATGCACCAATCATATTAATAACTAACAAATTAGGATTCTAAGATCTAAACTTTCAGGGACTAATAACACTTGCTTCCACTATAAAGGTTCATACTTCCTTCCATTTTCTAAATTGTTGAAGCTCAAGGCTCTGAAAGGAGACACTAGACCTTATCGTTATGAGTGTCTTCAATCCCATAATTGCTTTGATAACCCAAGGAGCCATTGGAAAGAAAGAGACCTGCCACAGCTACAGCAGAAGCAATCAATAAACTGTCTGAGACATCCATCTAGAGTTAAGGCACACAAGCCTATTATGCCTACATCAAGGAAACATGCACCTGTTTCATGTGTGTATGAATAGGAAGGTTTAGGTTAGATTAGATAGTTTTCTACTGAATAATCTTTTATTATGGACAACATGTTTATGATAAGTAGAAGTTATTGAAGAGACTACCTCTGGTCAGTTGTCATTTATTGTATCCCCACCACTGGAGTGAAAGTAACATGGTTCACAGAGGTCTTCTATTCTGTAACTTAGACAACTCATTTTCACCATATTATTTCTCAAAGATCTTATAAAACGAAAGTGGATTTTTAAAATTATGATATATTTTAGCTGTCCCCAAATTCTGCATAAATGAAATAAATGAAAGCATGAAATGAATGAGGAAAACATATGTAACTATAATAGAATGTGGTATGGGAGGGGAGATAGATGCCAGGTGTGAAAGGAGACTTGGGGAAAACAAAGAGAATGAGGATGGGAGCCCTTCAAGAAGGGGAGACTGTCATTCTCTTCTCCCTATAATATGACTGCTTGGTAGCTAACTCACTGATCATCCCAAGCCTAACTGCCCAAAGAGGGCAGATATGAAAGAAGACGGCAAGGCAGAGGAAACCTGCAATATAGTGGCAACCTATAACGCACCTGTTTTAACATCATAAAGATGAGTGAATTTCCCATGGTCAGCTGGACACAGGAGAAAGGAGCTAAAATTGAGAAACCGTGCTGTCAATTTACCCAAAAAGCCTGCCTGCTAAGCAAGGGGCCTCTAGAATTAAGAAGTTATAAGGTCTACCACTGGGTGCCCATGTCAGATTCCTATGCGGAGGGGACACCCAGAGCCCCCAACAGCAAATAATTCACAAAATTACATAAGAATTAGCATTTGAACAACTGTCTTTACTGCCATTCCATTTTAGCCCTAAAAACAGCGGCAACCAGACCAGGCACGGTGGTTCACTCCTGTAATCCCAGCACTTTGGGAGGCCGAGGCAGGTGGATCACCTAAAGTCAGGAGTTCGAGATCAGCACGGCCAAGATGGTGAAACCCTGTCTCTACTGAAAATACAAAAATTAGCCAGGTGCGATGATACATGCCTGTGATACCAGCTACTCGGTGGGTTGAGGCAGGAGAATCGCTTGAACCCAGAAGGCGGAGGTTGCGGTGAGCCGAGATTGCACCACTGCACTCCAGTCTAGGTGACAGAGTGAGACTATTATCTCAAAAAAAAAAAAAGTGGCAACCAATGGAGCACTATATTGGCACTATATTCATAGAGATTTATGCATTTTAAAAATTTTCCTTTCCTTTCTATTGCAAGAAACTGGGAATCAGTAGCCCCACCCCGAAGGAATGAAAGTTCTGATTATGTCTTTGAGTTCTTCAGATATCTGTTCCCATGTATCAGCAGACATCAAAATGTAGTTACTTTTAATAAATGTGAAATATTGTAAAATTGTGACAAATAATTTTTCATATTTATTACAATTTTGTGGGTAAGAATTTGGGCAGGATTTGACTGGGCTAATATTCCATTTCACATGGCATTGATGAACTTTACACTGTGGTATCCCACTAGTACAGTGGACTGGACTAGAAGCTCAAAGACAGCATCACTCACATTTCCAGAACACTGGGAGGTATGGTTGGAAGGCAGAGCTGAGCTGGAATTGTCAACCTGAGCACCGCAACGTGGCCTCTCTAGTATGGCAGCCTCTGGGTAGTCAGACTTCTTACATGACACTTTGGAACTCTAAGTGTTCCAACGAGCAAGGCAGAAGCTGCGTGATCTTTTATGTTAGACTTACTTTTAATAATCAAAATAAACTAAAAGTAATGGGATCAGCTAAAGATATCACGAAGATGTGGGAATGGGTATCTGACTATTCATGTTTGTTCGGAGTTGTTGAAGACAAACAAAACTGTTTGATGTTTACATTCCCACTGAGTTGGACTGATCAAAACCCTTCAGCAGAAATGCTCACAGCTATTCCCTGCATGGAAAGTGGGAATTAGCTGCTAAAGTGTTATAAATTTGCACCAGATGCACAAAATAAAAGAAGAAGGAAGCAAATGGAAGAGATTCAGTTGAGATTTTTCCAAACGTTTCAAGAGACCATAAGTAAAAGGAATGGGGAGCTGCACTTTTATTAAGAACAATTATCTCAAGAGCCAAACGTCACCACTTTCACCCTGATCCATTACTTGAGAAAGTTGTGATAATAACCTTGATCGTTCTGCCAAACAAATAAAACCTATAATCACTCAGTCTAGAGGATTCTTTTCTGAACCAAGCAGAAACCAACTCAACAAATAATTCCTAATAATAATAAACATTTTGAGCCACTCCTTGAAGAACTGCAATTGAAACTCCTGTATATTCCATAGTGATAGTCATCAAAAATAAATTTGAATAAAGGGAGAGAAAAGGAAGATGTATGAGTTTTTAAATACTCTCTTTGATGTCAGAAAATATTTCAGAATGGGTGATTTTACATGATAATTATTTCCCCTCACCTGGCCCTGTGAAATACCCAATGATATGTAAAAGGAAACTGTGTGGAAGAGAAATTAAAACTCGGGTGAATTTTTGAGGGTAAAGCATAGAACAGGATGAGGTCACACAATGAAATGCACTACTAGATATTCATGCAATACTGCAAACAGGACTCATTGGCAGCTGTCACAATTTCTCTGGACTTATGCTCTGAGGAAAAGGAATAGGTTTCTGAGTTTCCCCGCGAGACCACTCAGCTGTCAGTCCAAAAATGAAAAACATCTCAGCAGGGACTCATTTAAGAGTCTTAAATCCAAAGAACTGCAGTATAACATTGATTCTGTCCATGCCATACTTACTAACTTTACTCGCAATTATGGAGAAATTATACTGCGCAGTGCTTTCTCTGTCTAGTAATTCATTAGTGGCGATGGTTCCTTCATTTCCATCTATTGTAAAGTAGCTGTCCCCATCACTCTTCCAATCTATGAAGTACCTGTATATGAAAAGAGTAGATGCAAATGTGCAATGATTACACATTAATCATAATGGCACTTAGGCTAACTTGACACAGTTCCTTATTTTTCTCCCTGTAGCTATTACCCACCTTGCAATAAAGAAGACTGTAAATGACAGCTTCTTTATTGCAAAGTCAGTATGCTCAAGGGGAAACTGGAAATAATAAAAGATTTAGTACTCCTGCTGTTCATATTATTTTAGGGCCTTGACACCTTGAAAGCTCAGCAGAGACTAAAATTCTAAAGCTGACCATGAGTTTCCTTAACCTGCTGAATATTAAAACTTTTTCAAGCAGTAAAAAATTCCTTAACAGTGGCTATGACTGTGTAAATGGGGTTGAGAGAAGCACTGGAAACAACTACAAAGAACCCAGGTCAAAACAGAGGTAGAATCTTTGTTTCCAGAGATAGAAAAAATAACATCATGGAAACAAACGGTAAATTTTTTTAACTGACAATTTGGTAATTATACAAAAATATTTCCTCAAACACATATAAAACGGTCATGGTTGTTTTATTTTGTTATGTATTTTGTTGTTTCATTGATGTTTTATTACATATCAGGTCAACATTAGAAAAACAGTGACTTTGGATAATGATGTCTCTTTATCTTGTTTATTATGTGACATATTTGATAATAATGGATGTTGCCCTACGTGAAGCAACTGGACTAAAAATTCCAAGAAAATGAATAGCAAAATAGAAAATGCATGTATTTAAATCTTTAAGTAACAGTAGATATATGGATCGGCATTATGTGAAATTTTTTTCCAACATGTGTTTTCAATCATAACAATCATTAACATTTTTAAATATGACAATTTGATAGACGTTATTCTCAATGCTTACACATTGAGAATAAAAAATGTCTGCAGAATAGTATTATTAATATGTCTTACATATGAGAAAAGAGAAAGCATAGAGACATGAAGGAATTTGTCCAAATTAACATAGTTAGAAAATTTTAGATTGATGTTTGAACCAGGTCATCAATGTTTCCCATATAATTATTATTACACAGTCTTACCAATTTTAAATATAACATTTTATGGGAAATGATTTTGCTAATCAAAAGGCACAATACACAAATTATTTGTCATCATTTTATTCTAGCCTGGAACCAAAGAGAGATCATTTCAAACAATGGCTGAAAGCAGATGGCATCATTGTTAGTCAGCCCTTGGAATCACCACTCCAAAGAAAGTGTTCATTGTGAAAAGTCAGTAAAGCGATGTGTATCTCAACATAAAAAACTATTTATTTTGACAAGCTGATTATTTGAAACTGTAGCAGTTTGTATGTTATTTCAGTTCTAGGTCACCTGCATTTACAAATGAAATACATCTGAAATATATCATTCCACACTAGTCTGTATCTGTTAGTACAGGTATACCTTATTTCATGGCTCTTCACTGTATCGTACTTCACTCCTATTGCCGTTTTTACAAACTGAAAGTTTGTTGCAACCCTGTGTCAAGCAAGTTCATCGGCATCATTTTTCCAACAGTAAGTGCTCACTTCATATTTGTGTCACATTTTGGTAATTATTATATTTCAAACTTTTTAATTAATATTATAACAGGGTGATCTATGAACAGTGATCAGTGATACTTGATGTTACTATTGAAATTATTTTGAATAAGAGTGAATTATTTTGAGGCAAATGAACTGCACCCATATAAAATTGTAAACTTAATCAATCAACGTTGTGTGTCCTGACTGCTTCACTAACCAGCTATTCCCCCATCTGTCTCCTGCTCCTTGGGCCTTCTCTAGTCCCTGAGACACAACAATATCGAAAATAAGTCGAGTAGTAATTCTACAGTGGCCTCTAACTGTTCAAATGAAAGAGTCACACATATTTCACTTTTAATTAAAAGCTGGAAATGATTAAGCTCAGTGAAGAAGGCATGCCTAAAGCCAAGATAGTCCAAAAGCTAGGCCTCTCATGCCAAACAGCCAAGTTGTGAATGCAAAGGAAGAGTCCTTGAAGGAAATTGAAAGTGCTACTCCAGTGAAGACAGGAATGATTAAAAAGCAAATGAGTTTTATTGTGGTTATAGAGAAACTTTAGCGGTCTGGATAGAAGATAAAGCCAGTCACAACATTCCTTTAAGCCAAAGTCTAACCCAGAATATAGCCCTAGCTGTCTTCTGTTCTATGAAGGTGGAGAGAAGTAAGGAAACTGCAGAAGAAAAGTGTGAGCTAGCAGAGTTGGTTCATGAGGTTTAAGGAAAGAAGTCATCTCCATAACATTAAAGTGCAAGGTAAAGCAGGAAGTACTTATGTAGAATCTGCAGCAAGTTATCAAAAAGATCTAGATAAGATCATTGATGAAGGTGGCTACACTAAACAACAGATTTTAAATGTATACAGAACAGCCTTCTATTGCAAGAAGATGCCATCAAGGACACTCAAAGCTAGAGAGAAGTCAATGCCTGGCTTCAAAGCTTCAAAAAACAGCCTGACTCTCTTAGTAGAGGCTGATACAACTGGTGATTTGAAGTTGAAGCCAATGTTCATTAACCATTATAAAAATCCTAGAGCCCCTATGAATTTTGCTAAATCTACTCTGCCTGTTGTCTTACAAATGGAACAACAAAGCCTGGATGACAGCACATCTGCTCACAGCATGGTTTATTAATTTCTTTTTTAAAGACAGACTCTTGCTCTGTCACCCAGGCTGGAGTGCAATGGTATGATCTCAGCTCACCGCAACCTCTGCCTCCCAGGTTCAAGCGATTCTCCTGCCTCAGCCTCCTCAGTAGCTGGGATTACAGGTGCATGCCACTACGCCTGGCTAATTTTTGTATTTTTAGTAGAGATGGGGTTTCACCATGTTGGTCAGGCTAGTCTCAAACTCAAGACCTCGTGAGTAGCCCACCTGTACCTCCCAAAGTGCTGAGATTACAGGCGTGAGCCACCACACCCAGCTGGTTTACTAAATATTTTAAGTCTACTGTTGAGACCCACAGCTCAGGAAAAAAAAAAATCCTTTCCAAATATTACTGCTTATTGACAATTCACCTAGTCACCCAAGAGCTCAGACGGAGATGTATAAGGAAATGAATGTTGTTTTCATGACTGCCAACAGAACATCCATTCTAAAGTCCATAGACAAAAAATGTAATTTTGACTTTCAAGTCTTATTATTTAAGAAATACAGTTTGTAAGGCTATAGCTACCAAAGATAGTGACTTCTATGATGATTCTTGACAAAGTAAATTGAAAACCTTATGGAAAGGATTTATCATTTTAGATGCCATTAAGAACATTGGTGATTCATGAGAGGAGGTCAAAATATAAACATTAACAGGATTTTGGAAGAAGTTATTCCAAGCCTCATGGATGACTTTGAGGGGCCAAGATTTCAATGGAGGAAGTAACTGCAGAGGGGTGGAAATAACAAGAGAACTGAAATTAGAAGTAAAGCCCTAAGATGGGCCTGAATTGCTGCAATTTCATGATAAAACTTGAACAAAAGGGGACTTGCTTCTTACAGATGAGCAAACAAGGTAGTTTCTTGAGATGAAATCTACTTTTGGTGAAGATGCTATGAATATTGTTGAAATCATAACAAAATAATTAAAATATTATATAAACAGTTAATAAACAGTGGCAGGTTTTAGGAGGATTGACTCCAATTTTGAAAGGAGTTCCATTGTAGGTAAATGCTACAAAACAGCATCACATGCTGCAGAGAAATACTTTGTGAATGGAAGAATTGACTGATACAGCAAACCTCATTTTTTTCTTAAGAAATTGCCCTAGCTACCCCAACCTTCAACAACCACCACCCCAATTAGTCAGTAGCCATCCAGTTCAAGGCAAGACCCTCTACCAGCAAACAAGATTACAACTTGCTGAAGGCTCAGGTGATCTTCAATGTTTTGTTTTTGTTTTTTGTTTTGCAATAAAATATTTTTAACTAAGGCATGTACTTTTTTGGGCATAATTCCATTTCACACTGACTCGACTATGGTATAGTGTAAAGATGATGTTTATATGTACTGGCAAACGAAAAAACTGTTTGACTTGCTTTATTGCAATATTTGCTTTATCGTGGTAGTCTGGAACCAAACCTGCAATATATCCAGGGTATATCTGTAATTGATTTCTGAACCAGAAGATGCTTAATATTTATTAGAATAAAGTATGAGCCACGCTGTTAATCTAATTTTGACATTTCTTCTGTTTATTGGAGGAATGAGAAAGCACTGATGTCTTCCAATTTCAGTGTGGTACCTTAGCTCACATGAATGCTCTCAAAAATTAAAAACGAAGTTAAGGCACACCAAAAGGTCAGAAAACATAGAGATATAATGAGCTTAATTCTCCGTACCGCATATTCTTTTCTGAACAAGAAAGCATTTCTCAAAATACTTCTTTATAGCACCTCATTTAACTTGCCATATGCCTAATTTAATAAGAAAATTGCCACTGAAACTCCTTATTAACTGTAGTATTTCTGAAAGAATTGCTGATGTAGGCTCACTGTGTTCAATTTTTCAATTTATTAAGTATTTGCTGAGTGTCCACTATACACTAGACATTGTTCTAGAGATGAGACATATAAAAATAAGTAAAGTATGATGCCCATCAGTGAAGACTTTAGTTGGGAAGACATGTATAAACAGACTGTTTCAATGCCTGAAAGAGAGATAGTAGAGAAGGCTTTGCAGGAGTGCCAAGAAAACACATTGAATGTAAAACCTAGTGCTTCAGGCAATCCTTCCTGCACATGATATTTGGCTGACATTAGAAGGCTATATGGAAATCATCCAAGAGGAGGTTGAAGCAGAAAAAGTGAGGGGAGGAATAGACGGTGTTTTAGAAAACTGCAACAGCAGTAGCAAAACGACACAGGTGGTGTAGGGAGCTATCAGTTGTTCAGAATTACTATAGAAAACTATCTGAGAAGCATAATGACATGGAAAAAAATGAGTGATTTAGGTCAAGGAAGATCTTATACATTATAGTTAAAAAACTATTAATTTCTCTATAAGTAGTCCCTGGTGCATGATTTGTATTAGAAACTCTCAAATACAACTGAGAGGAATCACTGGTTTTTAATATATTTTTAATATTTTTAAAATATTTCAGATGTATAATAAAGTTGCAAGAATTGCACAATAAAGTTCCAAACATCTTTCACTTACACTTATTATGTTAGTATTTTCCCACGTTTGCTTTATCACTTTCTCTCTTCTCATGAGCACATGAGTTTTTGTAGAATCAAGGTTTCAAGTTGTCTGACTTTGGTACCATTAAGCCACAGACATGCACTTCATACAGTCATCAGTTTTTATTCTTTGATAATCTTTTCCTTTTGATTAGGTTGTTTAATCCATTCCCATTCAACAGCTAATATTGATATAATGGTATTTGCATTTGCCATTTTATTTTTAGGTTTTCTATATTTCTCATGTCTTTTTTGTGTATTTCTTCTCTACTCCTTTCTTTTACAATAAGTGGATATTTTCTAGTGTGAAATTATTTCTTTAATGATTTTTATTATATAATTTATTTTCTTAATATCTGCTTTAAGTTTTGCCATATATGACTTAACTCATCAGATTCACATTCATACTAAATTAGAGTAAAATATAGAAATGTTTCTTCTATGTAGTTATGTGTGATAATTGTATGTATTATATATGTTACATACATATATGTCACAAGTGCAATAAAACATTGTAACAATTTTTAATTTTTATAGTTTTATGTAATGTTTGCATCCTGCCCCTCCTGGTAAGATATTATATCCCTTGACTGGTTGCGAAGGAAAGAGAAACCATGTCTTTTTACCACACCTGCCAGGTGGGCATTTGTATCAAGCCGAGCTGGGACATAGGAGTGGGAGCGGGGAGCAGGTTCTGGGTTAAGTGTCACTGTCTTTTGCTATTCTTACCAAGTTTTAGTAGCTTTTCTTGAATAAATTGTTCTTTATGTGCTGCATGCTCTTAGAAAATTTTCCAGAGACTGTAAATGAGCGTCTTTTATTTTTTAAAGAAACAAATGTCATTTATTTTTGTTTCACTGGGGAGTGTGTCTATAGATCGCATCCTGCTGCCATTCATTAAGTGGAAACTCCATTCATTTTTGAAAATCCCATACTCTTTTCTTGTGAATTCCAGTTAACTTGCATGATATTTTTCAAAGCTTTTCTTTACTTCCATCTTTGAAAATCTCTGCAATGAACAGATCATTCTTTAATGCTAATAATATTCAATTATTATGTAGATGTTGGAAAATATAGCACAGCTTGTATACATTTTGTGTATGTGACGTGATTATCCTACTTACCCAAAGTTTGTTAAATTTCCTGAGAGCAGAGACTAGCTTTGTTCATCTCTGTGTTGCCAAGGACCTGGGATGTTGTTTGTACATAGCACCTGCCACTTAAATATTGTATTGAATTCTTTGCACAGATCCTATTCTTCCTGCCTGTATAATAGTTACATATTTCTACATCAAGGGAACATATTTAGAGCTTTAAGACTGTCTTATTTGGGACAATCAATTATTTCTGATTTGATGAGGACTTTCTCAGTTTTTACAGTGAGTGTCTTTAGGCCCAGAAAACTCCTCAAGAGTTTTCCCAGATAAGATTGGGAAAATTGATCACCTTGTTTATAGTTAATATTTGTAGCATATGTTATAATTTAACAAATTGATTCAAACAGAAGTCTAACTTCATACAGTGAATCACCACATATACAGGTTATGTTTAAATGTAATTTTAGGTATTTTTGATAACGAGTTTAAAATTCAAAGACTTACATAATATATACATCAAATAATACGTTTATCTCTTAGTTATGTGTTTCTGTATATCAATCCACTAGGATCCAATATCTTGCAAGCTCAGTAAACATATTTAATTTTTTAGTTCATTCAGCCTAATGCTGAAGTAGAATTTGCAATACATAGATTAACCACCACTGAGATGCAATGAAATGTAGCATGAAGCACAGTAATTTTTTTGTATAGAGAGAATTAGGGTGATATACATTTTATTCACTTACCTTGTGCAATTAGTTTAGGGATCTTTCATTCCAATATCTATTCTCCTTATGTTCTATAAAATTTGGAAAATAATACCTCCCTAATAGTGTAACCATGAGTGTTGTTATAAAAATGAAATAAGATAAAGTATATGTTGCATAGGGATAGAGTCATGTGTATCAGCGTGTGAGTGTATGTGTATGTCCTTTTCCCCCTTTCTCCCTCTCCTTTCATACTATTTTGTATTACTTCCCAGATAAAAACTCTTCCTTACCCACACATTTTCTTATCTGGCATCAAGTCGTGGCACACATAACCTTCAACTTTCTAGTACTTGAACTATGAAGCTCCCACACAAACTCGTACAGTACAAACCATAAACACAAATATCCAGGCTCTATTTCACACAATGGTGCTTCTGTTTGACTGTCATTCGCTACTTTCTGGTATCTATTTTTTATCTCTGTCACCTTGTGAGACTTAGCAAGCTCCTTTCTCTGCATGATACCCTCCAACAAAGCTTTATATCTTCTGGAATATAGCTGACACCCATTTGAACAGTTCCTACTCAGCTAAGCATCTTCAACATCTTCTCATAGTTAGCCAGGTCTCAGACTACAGGCCTAATACTAGCTCCTGGCATCTTCCCAGTGCTCTGTCTATATGTGACTGACTAAAACCTGTGCCTGACTAAAGCACAAATATTTTCTATTGTGATATTTTATCCAGTATAGCAACTGAGAGACATTTATAAGAAAAGACCATCAATGAACTTGCAATGAAACCATTCCTACATTTTCTGGACAATTTTGGAAAAGATATGGCCCAGTTCTTAAAGGCATAGAAATTTTGAGGAGTTACAGCCTCACAGAGTGAAACATCGTGTTTCTGCTGTTGGGTTGCAACAGTCTACTTACAATCTAAGGATAAAATATTATTGGAATTGCAACTAATCACAACAGTATAACATGAACTGTGTAATTTGGCCTAACAGATGAGTTTCAATGAGCAAAATATTTAAACAGAAAGTATGTTTGACTCATCTCATACTTATTTGGTGAGTAGATGGGATTTAAGTGAAAAAACGATTATATGATTATAATCTGTATATAATAAAATAAACCTAATTTCATACAATTATGTACAGTGATTGTTGCTAAAAAAAAAAAAGGTTTTAACATTTGAATAGAAATCAGAAATTAAAACATTAACCTAGTCTGCGCAGGCCATTTGAGAGAGTATGGTTTTATTCCTATACTGTAAATTAGTTTTCAGAAACGCCTTTAAAATTTTTATTCTATTTATTAGGTAAGCATTTCCCTTAAAATTGTACTTTTCAATTTGCTTAATAATTTTCTCACCATCAATGGAAACGCTAACTTTGACCCTGCCCCAGTTCTCAACTACATGTGTAAAAGGAACTTGATGGTACCAAATTCCTCTGAAAGTACTACACCTCATTGTTTAAACAATAAAAATCTGCTAATAATGACACAGGTCAAAGTAGAAAATGTTATTTTGTTAAGATAATGATAGTAGATCAAACTGTCTTTACTCTTATCTCTTCTTAGTTGCCAATGTTTTTGTTTTGCCTTTTGGAAGACAATTAAAGAAAGTAAATTCAGTTCAATTCATTTTAACAAACACTTTACTGAGTACCTAAGCCACCTGCAACAATATGTCAATTGTAATTTCTCCATCAGCAATCACAAATAAATCCCGCTATGTTCCTCTCAAACTTTTTAAACCACCAGTTCCTACTTTCCTATCAATTTCTCTTTTTTCTTATCTTCCTCCTCATTTTTACTTTCCCCTTACTAGACTTAAAAGTTGTATCTTAAATGGTTTAGATGGTTTCTATTGCTTGTTTTAAATGTTTGATGAGAAACTATTTACAAAAGTATATCATTTAATAAAAGTAAGTCTTCTGTCTTTAAATTTCCCATTTGTACACATGCAATATGATTAAAATAGATCTCTAAAGAAGAAGAAATATACCATAATCTACATAATGTTGAAATTATAATTGTTGTATTTGTATTTTCCTCCAAGTTGCTTAAGCTTTCCTCTGCCCTTTTTTTTTTTTTTTTTTTTCTTGGAACAGTCATACACGGTTTCTTACGGAACTGGAAGTTAACTTCAAAACTCTCTTCTCCTCTGCCATTCTGTTGGTTATCTGACCACTGTATTTTGTCTTTAACTCAGAGCAAAAATAACTTTATCTTTGACAAGAACTTCTTCTGCCCCCAAAGCTTTACACCTGTCCTTTAGTTTACTCTGCGGACACCTTGAAGCAGCTTGCTCTAATAGAAAGAAAATGAGGTTTAGACAAATAATGATTAAGTCCAGGCTCTGTACTTAACAGCTTTAAACATCCTGAGTCTCAGTTTTATCAGATATTAAAAAATGCAGACTGTAATACCTGACTAAATAAGTAAAGAATGTGTGCAGTAAACGTTGATATCTGATATCTTCTGCTTAGAAGTATCTTTGACTCTAGGGACTTCAGAAGTCCCTTATTTTGGACTTGGTTGTCAGATCATTTCAATTTTTTTTCCTCCCATTCATGTCACAGAACTTTCCTAATTTCCTCAGAAATCAAAGGCACCTTTTTGCTTTGCTCATGTTCTCCCCATTAAGACTTGCTGAATCCCTCTAGACAGCATCTATTTCTTCCTTCTTACAAAACTGTACCATTTTTTAAACTTTACTTACTACCTATTTGAATTGGTGTTAACAGTTTCTCTCAAATGAGAATAGCAAACAAACTATTTTGTTTTGTTCATTATACAGGGAGTTTTTTTCAAGTATGAAGAGTTCCTTACTGAATATATTGCTCTATTCATAATACAGTGCACTTATATGTGTAAATTGAATTATTTTATCTGACTTTTCTTATTGATAATGTCCTGGTCATATTTCAAACATGGAATACCTTAATTTACATTTTTGAATATTCAAACGTATTTATTCTGAAGTCCTTTTGAGAGAGCTTCATTATAACTATTTTGTTGAACTAAGTCCAGTGCCTGTTATTCCAAGTCACCACTGGATTTATTTACTCTTATTAGGTCATGGCCAAATGGCTCTGAAGAATGGTGCCATTTTATGTAGAGCTGCTTACCATTTGAAACCTAAATATAGACATCATATTTGAAAGAAAGGTTTTATTTTCCTCCTTTTCCTTCTACCTAAGCTTGCATTTCCTGCTTGTGATTAGTCTACTGTTTAGCTAATTTGCGCTCTGAAAGTTACTCATATTCCCTTAACTGAATGCTCTGGAACAGCTTATGAAATGATTCATTTCTCTTGTGTCCTTTTGATCACTGATTATTACAGTATTTTTCAAGAAGAGCATTTTCTATTTATTGTTTATATATTTAAAATAACTATTTTAATATATAAATATTATTATTATATAGTTGGGACTATACTGAATAAGGTTTCATATACTTTGTGCAAAATTAATTTAAAAATTTTTCTTGATGTAGAAGATATATTCTAGTGTATAATGCAATGTACTAATAAAATATAGCATGTATATGTATGTGGATATGTGCATGTGAGTTTTTTCAAATCGAATATAGGTAGATCTATATCTAGATGTGTAAATATAATGTCTTTTTTTCTTAAGGGCTCATACACCTGGGTGTTCTGGCATGAACTTTATGGGGATTAACCTCTGTTGGCAAATTGTAGTCCAGTTGATCTCTATTTTCTTAGCAAATTTTTTCTTCTTCTCTTTCTTGTTTGCTTTTTTTTGTTTTTCATTTAGTAAAATGATTTTTCAGTTTCTTTGCTTCTATAAATGGAGTTAATACAAGCTAAATACCATCAGCACATTTGCAAAGAGACTTCATGCAAAAACCAACTTCAGAGAAATAATTCTCTTGCGGGTCCTAAACACGCAGTATACCACAGTTGTGAAAAAGATGAGTAGGGCAAAATCCCCAGAGATTAACACATTCAGCTACTCCTGCAGTTTCTAAATTCTACATCTCCTTTTATTGGTTTGTTTGTTTCTGAGTTTCTTTGAGGTATTCCATATCAAACCTTCTGTTTTTCTTTTATGTCCATCAATTTGTACAAAATATCTATTTTTTTCATTTAATATGTTTTGCATTGTTTCTGTATATTTGTTTCCTGTATACAGTCAAATGATCTAAGAATTTATAATATATTTTTTAGAGGTACTTTGAGTCCTAGCTATTGTTAAAAGCTAGCAGTTGCCTTCACTTAGAATTAGTAAAGTAATTCATGAAGAATAGTTTTGTTATAGAAACTAACACACTATTTTTTCTTAATGTGAACTTTAAAATGTTTTTTTTTATGTAGAGCCCAATTTCTCATTTTGTATAACTCTAATCAGCTTTTCTCATTTTACATTTTATTATTCAGTTGGTAGAAAATTACTTTTATTTTTCATGGCATGCTTTCTGAGAAAGTACTAAATATTCATATAGGTATTGGAAGAAGAATATTATCCATATATATTATAGAACATTCATTAAGATAAAAGAGTTCATCTTTTTTGAGACCTCCATATCATATCTATTTCCTTTAGTATTCACAATGTGAATCTTAATATAATGTATATATTCTCAAAATCATCAAAGAAGCATCTGACAACAAGTTCATGATTATTTGCAAAGCTACAGGATCATAATCCATACAAAAATAAATGTGATTTTTTTTAAGATAGCATTTCCTATCAGTTAATTATTAGAGACAATTGTGATCCAACATTTTGGAACAAATCTGAGGGTTGAAATACTGAAATTATCATAGTTTCTCAGATATTTTTCTAGATTTATAAAGGAAGTAACTGTGTTGATTTTTCTTCATGCAGAAAACACAAATGAGTACTATGCCATTTTAATACTTAGCTGAAATTAGTATTATATAGGTCAAGTCATTCATTGAACAAATATTTATTAACTATCCACTTGCGCTAGGCAATATTTTAGGTGTGTGGGATCTATCAATAAAAATGTAGAAAAATCTCTGCTGCTGTGCAGTTTATATACTAATGGGAAGCAGAAGAAAATAAATCACATATGTAGCACTAAATATGCCAGATATTGCTCTAGAAACATTTATACCAATACTTCATTTAATTCTCACAAAAATCTTGTGAGGTAGATGAGAAAGAGAGCATGGGCATTTTTTCAAACATTTAATAGAAGTTATACATACTGCTATAGAATGTCACATGATAGCTGGGCCTCTCTTTCTTCTCTCTCCCAAAGTGTGCTGTGTCTGAACTTACGTTTTTGCACACATGCTAAGATTTCTGTCATATTGAAAAGGACCTTCAAATGCAAACCAGCTACTTTGATACTTTCTTAATCGAGAGTTTCTTAAAAATCAATTCCAATTGATTACAGCAATTTTTACAAAAGTGTGGTAAAAAGACTAGATTTGGAATATAAGATCATTTTTGTGGAAACAGGCATTTTTATTTTAACAACTAATTAGTATAATTTAACATTGTATTCTACTTTTGGTAGTTGAAAATGTTTTCTGATTATTATTTAAATTACCTACTTGATTTTAAGTGACGGGTTTTTGTTAGAAAGATCATTAAACAAAAGCATAGATAAGATGACAAATACAGATGCCCCTTGACTTACCATGAGGTTACATCTCAACAAACCCATCATAAGTTGAAAATACCTTGAGTTGAAAATGCATCTAAGACACTTAAGCTCCTGAACATTCTAGCTTAGCCTAGTCTACCTTAAACCTGTTTGAGCAACTTACGTTAGCCTACATTTGGACAAAATCATCTAGCGCAAAGCCTGTCTTATAATAAAGAGTTGAATATCTTATGTAATTTATTGAATGCTGAACTGAAGGGGAAAAAGGAATGAATGTATCGGTACTCAAAATATGGTTTCTACTGAATGCATATCGTTTTCACACCATTGCAAAGTGAAAACATTGTAAGATGAATCTTTATGAGTCGGGGAACAATCTGTACACTTTTAAATTGCACTATTAACCACTGTAATTTTGAGTTTATATATGCAAGTCTATATACATAAAATAGATTTTCTTTACATCATCATTCTGTTATTATTTAATTCTTTTGACATGGATTAAAATTAAATAATCTATTTTTTTAATTTAATAAAAATATGATTAAGTTCTATTTTTAAATTTATTCCAAGGATAACAGACTTTTATACGTTTGGAACAAAAGAAAAGTGGTACATATTGAGCAAAATTACCCACTGAAATCTTTCTGTAACCCAAATCACTAATACTCAAAGTAAATAATATCTTTCAGTGTAACTGGATAATCAACAGTTTTAACTTTCTAAACTCAAGAACTTGCTGTTATGAAAAGCCCCTACTTCACTAATGTTGGATATACTTAATCCAGTCTCGTTTGACTCACTAGAAATTGTTTCTGTGAACTATATAATAGCAGTGTTCACCTCAAACAAATATACAGCATTAGAAACAAGAAATCTAGTGCATCAAAAGGCGAAGGCTAGAAAAGTGAAGAATAACTAGAAATTAAGCTGGGGCCAAAGGGTGAGAGTAAGGAACCAGACAGGGTGTGTTTGCTAGTCATGAAACCTGAGAGAACCTTTCTTCAAAACGGGCTCAGTCCTTGGTTGTGGCATTGATGTGGCTCTTTGCTGTGCTTAGTGATGATGATGATGATGATGATGATGATGAAGATGATGAAGATGATGATGATAAAATACCCAAGGTCCTAAATTAATATCTTGCACAATAACTCTGTGAAAAGACAGTTAAGCAAAGGAAAACAAAACAAACAGCATATCTAACCATGTCGAGTAATTTTACACTTTAATTCTTAGTTTTCACAAGGTGTTTTCACTCTCATTCTTAAGCGGGTAAACACATTTTCAGAACAAGGAAAGATGATGCCTCATACCCCATGTTTCCTTAGCTGACACTATTCCAGTTTGTTGTTCACTCCAAGGACATGGAACAAAGACAGGTTTCATGTTGATTCAAAAACAGCTCTGTCTTTTGACAACCCCTTGTGGAGATCAATTAGATCCATCTGTGTCAAGTGGGCCGACTGCGACTCATTAGAACTAAGACTTGGTATACTACTTTATTTCATATAAAGTAGCACTTGTCAGATACTAGCTACTGTGACATAAAATGTACAAAATAAAAAACACACTTACAGCAGGAGAATTTCTTTCATGTTAACCTTTCTCTGTTCCTCACACCAGGGTCTTGACTGTAACAATTTTCTTGAATTTGGAACGTGTATCTTTACCTAATAATGTTTTTTACTTAGGAAATTTTTGATTTTTCTAGTTCTTAAGTATTGCCTTAAAATCATGTTTTTCTTAATATTTTGGCCTCATCATTCTTTTATGTCTTCAAAATACAACAAACAGTAAATTAAACAACATAGCATGTTCTCTACTCTAGATACATAGTTTCTCTATGTAAATTCTTATTTATTGACCTGCAGAGAGTTTTAATTAATCTTCATTTACCTTTTAATTATTTTTGTTGCAACCTTCAATTTTTTTTCAATAACTGTTCACATTTAAAAAAGACCTGTAAATCTATTCACCAGGCATCTTCTACTTTTCTAATTATCAACAGAACATCCTAGGGCTTCAGAAATAAAAGACTGATAAATAATGTTAGGTTAATACATAATAATTACCAAGGCAGCAGATTTTGGAGAATACCTAACAAATATTTGAATGTATATGTGGATGTGTGTGTGTGTGTGTGTGTGTGTGTGTGTGTCTGCATATAGCCCTATAAACCATATATGGTTTTCTGGAACTTAACTGGAAGTGAATCATGTTGTAATATGGAAATGTAAAATAATAGTTTGAATTCAGTGAGTAAATTGGTTAGCATTCAGCCTGAAATGTACGGGTGCTCAGTAATTGTTATACTTATTTCTTTTTAAAAGACAGATGAGCTTTTTTAGAGTTCTCTCCTGATTACTGATTCTCTTCAAGAATAAAAGCATTTGTTATGGACTGGATGTTTATGTTTCCCCAAAATTCATATGTTGAAATCCTAATGTCCAATGTATGATATATGGATAGGCTTTGTGGGGGTAAGGAGGTCATGAGGGTGGAGTCCTCATAAATAGGATTAGTGCCCTTCTAACCAAGACCCAGACAGCTCTCTTTCTCTTTCTGCTGTGTGGATACAAAGACATGACTTTCTGCTGAATAGAAACCAGGCCTTTATTAGACAATGGATCTCTTGGCACATTGAACATAACCTTTCCAGCTTTCAGAAACAAGAGACATATATGTTTTTTGCTGAAGCCACTCCATCAACGGTAATTTGTTATAGCAGCCTTAAGTGACTAAGACAGACATTGGTACCAAACGGTGGGGGTGCAGCTATAAAAAATACCTAAAAATGTAGAAGTGGCTCTGAAACTGAGTAAGGGGTACAGGCTGGAAGAGTTTTGAAGTGCTAAAATTATGAATGTTCAAGGATATTCTGTTAAAGGTTCAGAAAGAAAAGAGAACTGTAGAGAAAGATTCTGTCCTCCCAAATAACAACTCAACAGTCATAAACAGAATGTTGGTAGATATATGGACAGTAAAAGCCATTCTGATATGTTAACAGAGAGAAATAAAGACATGTTATTAGAAACTAGAGGAAAGGTCAGTAAGTGGCAAAGAAGTTAGGTGGATGGTGTTCATGGTCTAGTATTTTGTGGAAAGAAGGACTTTTGAGTGATGAAATTATTAGATATTTAGCTGAGGAGATTTTTAAGCAAAGTGTTAAAGGAGTAGCTTGGTTCCTCACAACTGCTTGCAGTAAAATGTGAAATAAAAGAAATGAAATAAAGATGAATTTTTTAAGTAAAAAGAAACCAAAGCTTAAGGACTTGGAAATATCTCAGCCCCGTCCGTGTTCCAAAATAATGAGAAAGTGTGTTTAGAAGAGAACATTAAGGGTTGATAGATTGATTACTTAATAAGAAGATTTGTATAGGTGTGAACCAGAACTTCATCTGCTATTTCAAAAAAAGCCAGGAAAACAGATGAGATTATAATAGCAGAAACACTGCCAGCTGGTACTAAAGAAAACAGAAATGTGGTAAAATGAAAGAAGATCATCAAACTTCTTCAGCTCTGTTAAATAGCATCACATAGCTCTTCAGCTATGAGCATTCATAATTCTCCAAATCGAGGGAAGAATTCCAAATCACCCCAACAGTGATTTGATGTCACCAGGCTTGTGGAATGGCTGCTTCCATAATGATTTTAAACATTGGGATCAATGCCTAGAAGACACACTGGGGTAGGGTCGCTCAGTGGAGCCCTGAGAGTGTGACCACTGCACATGAGTGAGGACACTGCAGAGAACCACAGCATGGGTGGTGTCCCTCCGAGTGGTGGAGGTTATATTGCCACCCTAGTGAGTCCAAAAGTGGGACATCCATTCTAGTGGGCCTGAGAGGTGAAGAATAGAGCTAGAGAAGGATTATGTTTGAGACTAAGGTTTAATGGAGTTTCCCCTGTTAGGTTTTGGACTTACATTGGACCTCTCACCCCTCTCTTCTTTCCTCTTTCTACATCTTGGAATAGGAATATCTTCACCATTGTATTTTGGAAACACATAATTTATTTGGTTTCACAGCTGGAGATTCACAGCTGGAGAGGAATTTGGCCTCGGGATGAATTGTACCTTTTGTCTCACATTTGTTTGGCTTAGATGATATTTAGATGACACTTTGGATTTTAATTAATATTAGAAGAAGTTGAGACTTTGGGGGCCCTTAGGATGTCTGCATTTTGCATGTAAGAAAGACATAAATTTGGGGTGGGCAGAATTGGAATCTTATGAGATGATATGTATCCCCCCAAAATTCACATCTTGCAATCCTAAACCTCAATGTGATAGTATTAAAAGATGGGGCATTTGGGAGGTAATTAGTTGATCCGGATGGAGCCCTCATGAAGTTATTTTTACCATTACAAAAGGGACTCTAGAGAGAGCTCTCTTTCTCTTTCTCCAGTGTCTGGAAACAAGGAGAAGATGACCACCTGCTGAAAAGAAAGCCGGTCTTCACCAGACGCTGGATCTGCTGGTCGCTTGATCTTGGACTGTCTAGCCTCCAGAACTGTGTTTGTTACTTAAGTCATCCAGTGATATGGTTTGGCTCTGGGTTCCAATCAAAATCTCATTTAGAATTGTAATCCCTACATGTTGAAGGAGGGTCCTTGTGGGAGGTGATTGGCTCATGGGAGTGGGGGTGGTTCCCCCATGCTTTGCTCATGATAGTGAGTGAGTTCTTACAAAATCTGATTGTTTCATAAGTTGTTTGACTGTTCCTCCTTCACACGTTGTGTCTTGCCTGCTGCCATGTAAGATGCGCCTGCTTCTCCTTCCGCCATGATTGTAAGTTTCCTGAGGCCTCCCCAGGCATGTGGAACTGTGAATCGATTAAACCTCTTTACTTTATAGATTACCCAGTCTCAGGGTGGTTCTTTATAGTAGTGTGAAAACGAACTAATACATCCAGTATGTGTTAATGGATGGTAGCAGCTAGAACTGACTGAGGTAGTATTCATGTAATTATAGGTGATGGATTCAGATAAATCCAAAGAGCAAGTTACGTATGCTGTCAAGCCATTTCCTGAGATGTCACTATATGCAATTACTGTGTTAAGGATACTACTGAACACTTGATCCATTGTTTTAATCTTTACTTGTCACATAGTGTAAAATCTTACAAGATATCTGTCTGTTGTATGTCAATAGAATAAAGTGTTTTTGCTTTAAAAACCTACTTAATATTTTCTTATTTTGGTTCTTGCATAGTAAGCTTC
The DNA here is from genome assembly GCF_000001405.40 of Homo sapiens. Lineage (NCBI taxonomy): Eukaryota > Metazoa > Chordata > Mammalia > Primates > Hominidae > Homo > Homo sapiens. Next base: position 21,801,345 of record NC_000005.10, read on the forward strand.
TTTCGGGACAGAAGATTCAGGAACAAATCTCATACTTGTCTTTTAATTGGTTTCTCAACAGCTGTAGGCACGCGGCAGAAAATTCAAGCATACAATAGAACGAATGGGAAATAAAGTCTCAAAACATACTGCTGGGTCAATGCATAAATGAGGAAAAGGGAAATTGTATTATGTCTTGATAGTACTAGTGGACTTTATGTGTTGAGAGAGAGTGACAGTGGGAGAGAGATGAGCAGGAAGCAGCTTCTTGCAAAGCATTTGCTTTGAGCAATTCCATAAATTCATTTTACTCTAGGACTGACTCTAACTGTGTCTCTACTCATTTCACCTCAACAACAGTAGACAAGTTTGTTACACTGGAAAAAATGACATGCAAATTGCAATAACTTTTTCAAACACTAACTTTGGGTAAGGGGTCAGAAATTTTAGAGTAATTATAAAATGTATTAATGTCTATTATACTCTAGGCACTTTCAAAGTATCTTAATATTACTAATTATGAGAATCATTCTCTAAAAGGTTATGTTATTAAATCCCGTTTATACATGAAGAGTTGAGATTTGTTACCTTGAGTGACATGAGAATCAGACCTCTATTGGTTATAACACCACTAGTAAACACTGCTGCAATAGTTGATAATATGTTTTCCCCCCAATCCTATAACATTTCCTCTATTCTTATGTAAAGTCATTATGTTTTCAAGCATCATATTCTATAATTAAATCATCATGCAGTTTTGGACAGAGAATTGGTTCTCTGGTTTTTGTTCTTGTTTTGTTTTGTTTTCCTGAAACATAGAAAAAAAATGTTTCTTTTTCTCACCTAACAGCACTGCTGCCTACATCCAGGTCTTGAGCAGTGACAGCGCCAATGATGGTCCCTACCGGAGTGTCTTCATAAACCTCCATGGTGTAGAGCGGCTTGCTGAAAACCGGTGGCTCATCTACGTCCAGCACGCTGATCTTCACCGTAGCTGTGTCTTTGAAAGGGCCCGCCGAGTGAAACCGGTGGTCAAGGTGAAGGTTGGAAGCCTCAACTTTGAAAGTGTATGCCTTCTTTGTTTCAAAATCTAAAGGCTGTAGTGAGGACAAATTAAGAATAAGGAGTAAATTTATATAGAATGTGGCAGAAATGGTGAACATTACTTCAGAGCAATTTGCAAGTTATTATCAATTATACTGGTTTAAAATTTTCATTTTTCTTAATAACTAGTGGGTAAGGGCAGCACAAGGCAAACCATTTTTTTTTCTTTTTTTTTTTTTTTTGAGACAGAGTCTCTCCCTCTCTCCCAGGCTGGAGCTCAGTGGTGTGATCTCGGCTCACTGCAACCTCCACCTCTGGGGTTCAAGCGGTTCTCCTGCCTCAGCTTCCGGAGGATCTGGGACTACAGGCGCCCGCCACCATGCCTGGCTAATTTTTGTATTTTAAGTAGAGACGGGGTTTCAACATGTTGGCCAGGCTGGTCTCGGATTCCTGACCTCAGGTGATCCACCCACCTCGGCCTCCCAAAGGACTGGGATTACAGAAGCAAGGTAAACATTTTAAGAAAAGAATCACGTCCATGTAGAAGTTTCTGGGTAACTTGTAAAGATCATCAGTTGCCTATGTTTGAAAAACTCATCATTTACGTGCAGACATACATGCTAGGTAGGGCTTAATCATTTTATATGAGCAAAGTTAAAACAGCAACAGAACAGATGTTCAGGGAAGCATTTCTCTGCTCTTATCCAATACTGACATCTAGTGGAACAAAGCAATGATAAACAAAAAAATGAATAAAAATGAAATAGGATCATTGAAGATACTCTAGATTCTAGCTGTAAATTTGGTATTGAAAAAGTGGTCCCATGAAAACTCCATATTTTGTTGTCTTATTTTATGGCATCTTATATTAAATACTTTTGGATGTCTAGATCTTTTTTTATTTTTTTTACTAGTAAATGTCTGTATCAGTATTTAAAAGCATACATAGTACTAATTTAAAAAGAATTTTTGTGTGTGTGTGTTCTCAGAACTGTATATATAAATTATGGGCGCGGTAACACATCATCAATACACATTACCAAGAATTGTGGCTTTATATATTAATATATATGACTAAATTAGAGAAGGCTGTGAAACATAATATAGAAAGTCATTTTCTATGGAGTCACGGATGCTCAGTTTTAGCTTATCGCTGCTTACTTGCACCCTCACTCTAAATATTAATTTTATGTCCACAATAACTGAAAATACACTATTCCTGAAATATGGTGCTGCTGTGGTGCTTTGTTTAAGTGATAATTTTAAGGTCAATGGCTCTGGCCTCTGATCATCTAAGAAAATCTGAGACAACACGAATTTAACATTAACATGGTGATTTTCTGGGACCTTTAAAAATTTATGTTTTCTAAAGGAATTCCTTCAAGTCTGACCCCAGTAAGTTGCTAATTGCTGTGTCAGTACCTGTTCCTTTACTGTAGTACACCTGGGGAAAATAAAGGAAGGATGGATATTTTTCTCCTTCTAAGATATGATTGCCATTTTATGCATTTCCTCTGAGGAACAAAAACAAAAACAAAAAAACACTTTTAAATCTTCGAAAACTCACAATTTCATGGAATTTATTATAACAAAACAGCAATTTCACTTGAATATGACATCAGTCTCTTTCACCATACTTTTTTATGCAGCAGGAACTATATTTATTAATTCCCTATAGGTATTCCTTTTATCATATTTTTATTTATGTGTTTATCTGCTTTGTAATCAATGTTTTCTTTTTACTTTTCTATATTTTAATTTGCTAACCTCATACCTGTTAACTTATAATATTGATTTCCTTTCATTTTCATATTTCTCCTGTTAGAAATTTTGATTTCTCTTAATACCTATATAAGCAAAGAATAGTATGCATAATATGCGATGGTTGATAATGTGGCCTTTGATGACATGAATAGAAGTGTAGTATCTGAAAAAAAGAGAGAGGATCACCCAGTGATGTTCCTTTGATCAGCCTAAAGCTTGAATACTGTGTTTTGTTGAAGAAATCAGACTCAAGAAAAGACAACTTATTGCAAGACTAGAATGATAAAATATTACCAAAGCCAAAAATGAGAAACCACTACAATTACTGCCAAGGCAAGGAAAGACACACATTTTCAAATACTTGAAGGGCCATTATGTTGACATTACTTAGGATTATTCTTTATGCCTCTGAGTGGTGAATTAATAGTAATTTGAGTTATTAACGAGAGTAAATTTAGATTAGAAAAAAGAGAAAACCTCTAATAAATAAAATCATTCTATAGTGAATTAAAACACACACACACACACACACACACACACACACACACACACACACACACACATAGATGTTTTACGTGGTGGCAAGGCTTGACATGCATCCTGTAAGGATGGAAAGATGAAAAGACAAGACTTGCCTCTCAATTCATTCAACAAATTACAGAATATTGCCATCTTGCTTAATGAGTGAGTTTGAAGAAGTACCAAGTTCTCTATAATTACATGTGTTTAAGAGATATTCAATATGTTAGAAGATATCGGAGAGAGAATGATGTGTAAGATAGAAGCGTGCACTAGCTAATTCAAATTAAGGAACATATAAAAATATGTTTTCTGTTTTTCCAAACTCTAAATGCTCTATAAATGTTAAACAATATAAGTGGTCTATGTTAGGTATCCTTAACTTGTAGTATAAGACTACTTTGATTTTTATCACCTTAGGGTTCCTTTTGCCTAGAAAGCAAATTGAGCTGACCTGGCTCATACTTACTCCCTTTCTTAGGCAAAAATTAACTTCTATCTTAGAATGTAAACGTTTGTACCAATCATTCCCCATTTCCCTCTCTACTTTCTCATATGTTGAAGTACTTCTAATTATCTATATGATTTGGCAAATTCTTTCTAGATAAGATCTTAATTTTTTTTCCCTACTTGATTACACACTACTGTTATCTAGATAATCTTGACTCTCTACAGGTAACTCCTTTTCAAGCCAGACATGAAAGGAGAATTTTGAAACCTTTAAAAGAGATGAGATGTATTCCATGCCTTTTAAGGACCCCTGACCTATAACAGCAGGCAAATATCTGGTTGTTAGGGAGACAGAGTAAGATAAAAGAATCCTGTACATACAGATTTTTTGCAACTGAAAACTTATAGCCTGTAGTGATCAAAGAACTAAAGAAAATTGTAAGAGAAATGCCACCATAGTCTCCTAGGTGGACTTACTTCTTCGTGACCCTGACTTTTAGGCAATCCCACTTGACAAAATGGTATATAGCTCAGAAAGGGCAAAGAGAACCAGCAGTGATCTGTCTTTAATTGAATTTACCTACACATCTGACTGACTACCCTCCATTTTTGGGGGGAATGAACTTTAGTTTCACAATCAATAAAAATCCCAGCATTTGAAATAAATATAGAATAAATAGGATTAGTTTCAGTGCTAGAAAATAAATCATATTCTATGATAGACATACATTATTGTGAGGTTGAACTAATTTATCTCTTGCACAATAAATAGAGAACTTTGTGGCATGGCTTGGAGCCCATTTAATGGTTATGAACCTCTCAAAGGGGAAGAAATGATTGACTAAAGAGAATTTAGTTGAGCAGCTTCTTTCTCTTTAGGTTGTTTCTATAAGGGAAGACTAGTGGCACCAGAATGTTCAGGAAACAATTCATCTAATTGAGTTGTGCAGTAAGAACCACAACTATAGAGAAATGAAATATGATATACTCAATTGTTCTACAGAGACTCAAGGGAGGAATTGGGGAAGGGGGGAATTTTGCTTCTTTGTTTTTTGCCACTGAAGGAAATAAAAAATATTTTACCCCCCAAGATATTTCTCTGATGTATTTTGAAATGTCTGCCACAGGGCCAGAAAATATAAGTGGCCTTGCAAAGCTATCTTTTGTGGGAGAAAAATTGCATCTGTAAGGAATTCCCATTAACGTGGGCAGGTCTTTTCTATGCCTTTCCCAGACCTAGGAGCCAATGAGAGCCTGACAATTTTAAAAGTCTGAAAATAAATAACTATCATCTATTTTCTCTGAGGGAGGTTTCATTTACATAACAAGTGGCTTTGGTAGCCAAGCCACTTCCTTTCTCCCTCTCATAACCTTTCTTGCCACTAAACGTGATTTACCAAGACAACCTGGTTTTGTCCATGCTCTGGGCCACCATTCTTTCTGTAACCTTGAGATGGTGATTAGATTCTGTAACTTATTGGGAAATTGGGTCTTCATTCTGAAGGCACCTGTATATACACGTTAAATAATTTGTTTGCCTTTTCTCCTATTAATCAATCTCCCTCATGTCAGTAATTTTTCAGCAAACCTTTTGTGGCCCAAGAGCCTATATCTCCCACACTGAAAACACCTTTGCAAAGATTATGACAGTGAGGGAAGTCTAGCATGGCGGACTCCATCTTGCTTCTAGCCTCACAGGCTGGCAGTCTTGGCTCATTCCCCAGCATAGCCCAAGCTAACTATGGAATTTAGTTTATACTTTAACTTTGAACCAAGGATGATAGTAGTCCCTCCCTATAACTGATGCCCTCCTTGGTCCTGGGCCAAAACCATGTTTGCAAAACTAAAGAAAGTCCACAAGATTAGGATTATGATAGTGGCCTGAATTCTGCTAAAACATAGGTAGTTTCTATAGTCTCTTACTGCTCACAAATCATGTGAACAGAGGTCACAAGATTTGTAACTTCCCTAATTGCTCCTACAGATAACATCACCATTGCAGAATCTAAGATTGGTCTTTTGAGATGTTTTTCACTCTAACCCCACCCAGATTTGTGGCATATGTCTCAACCAGTCCTATGGCTCCCTGCCCAGAGATGGACTCAGCATGGGGGGGACTGTATTTTACACCCTTATGATGACATCCCCAACGAATCAGCAGCACCCATTTGCTAGTCCCTTGCCCACCAAACTATCCTTGGAAAACCTTAACCTCTGGGCCTTCAGGGAGACTGACCTGAGTAACAACTCTGTCTTCCACATGGCTAGCCTGGTGTCAGATAAGCTCTTTACTGCAGTACCATGGTCTCAGAGAATTGGTTTTGTCTGTGCAATGGGCAGGAAGAGCCCATTGGGCTATTACAGCACTACTTTCTCTGTTCTTACATTGCTGAAGTCCAGGTCACAAAAAACTAAATGAAATGTTAAGTGCCAAAAGATTTTCTCATTTCAAAGGGAAATAAGCAATTTTTTGGCATAAATTATAAGAGAATAGCTACCTGGGCTCTTCCAGGGCTCCTCATGCTTCCAGATAATGTTGAGTGGAAATGGATAGCTATGGTTATAGATATTTTGAGGAATTTGAAAAAATGATAGCTTCAGCAGGCAGAATTCTAAGATGCTCCCAATATTCCTGCCCCCAATGACCTATACTCTGTGTGCAATGACTCTGCCATTCATTGTGTGAGAGGCCTGTAAATTAAATGACATCTCACTCACATAAACTTATTAAGTTTAATGGAAAAATAAGTTGTGCATATATAATTAGGGTCCCTAATCACTTGACATTGAGTTAATTAAGGAGATTTTACTTGAGAGGTGTGATCTAACCAGGAGACCCCTTAAAAGAAAGGAGTGATGCAGATGCTTTTCGTCCTGCCTTATAAGAAGTAAATTTGTCATTATAGGAGATTATGTGGCAAGTGGCAAGTGCTCAAGGGGTGCCTGTGGGAACTGAAACCTGATATTTGGCGAGAGCTAACAACATTGTCATAGGAGCCACAAGGAAGTAGTAACTACCACAAAAACAAAACAAACACACAACAACAATACAAAACAAACAGCCACGAGGAACTGGCTCTGCTAGGAACCAGTAAGGTTACAAAAGACTCCAAGGCTTAGATTGGATCATAGCCCCAATCACGCCTTGATTTCCTCCCAAAAGGCCCTGAGCAAAGGAACCAGTTATGCCATATTATGACTCACTGTAGCCGTGGTTTTGTCCCTTTTTACTTTTTACTCTTCTGTATTACTTCAATTTTTATAGTAAGCCTATATTATTTTTACCAACACAGTAAAGCCATCACTTTTAGGAAAATATATCCTTGAGTGATAAGGCTCTACACTCTCAATTATCTAGTAGGTCTTAATAGGCAATGGGAAGGAATACCGTCAATGAACGCAAATGATCCGAGGATGTAGGCTTATCTGAAACAGACTAGATTCTTTCTAAGACAAGCAGTTAGAAAACAGATTTATACCAGGCTGAACCAGGATGCACAGACACTAGGAGCAAGCTCTTATAAATAGGTTTATTACACTAGGCTGAACAATAAAGATAAGATGTTCAGAACAAGCATCATTTTAATGAAAAAGCAGGTTTCCTAAAACTCAGTTTTATGATCAATATAGTAGTCAATTCTTGTCTGGGAAGAGACGTGGGAGAGTTTATGCATATCTCATCATCATTGACAAAAGGTTGCAACTCAATATTTTATATAAAAAAGCTGTATTTGATGAACAAAAGTTGCCACTATATCAGGTGAGAATGTCCCTGTAACAAAGGGAAAAACAATGAAATGTAGTTAAGTTTTAAAACGTAGATTTTAGTTTGGACAAAATTTCAACACCATTTGTTAGAAAATTAATAATATATAAGCTTATAAGAAACATATAATTACTAGGCAAAAAGTGTTTGTAAACAAAAATATTTAAATGAAGAAACATCCATTTTATATAACTTACCTTAAAAATATTTGTAACAAAACTATTTATTAGAAATGCACTTAATTTTTCTGTGGACAAGTTATTACTATACTTTAGTGTTTTGCAACTCTGCAAAATTTTCGTAGTTTTAACAAATTATCTTAAGAATCATGGTCATTATAGTAATGCCTGTATTTTAGCGGTAATTTTTGGAATAAATTTAGTAACCAAGATAAACAAAAAACAAGCAAACAAAACAAAACAAAAAAGAATTGCAAGAAACTCTAGTGCTTCTAGACATAGGTTTTTAGTGATATTTCCCCTAAAAAATTACAGAGGGTTTCGTCACATACTATAAATGCTGAAATAAAATATATGTGTCATGTCCACATACAGTATAAATCATGACTATTGGGGAGGCCAATTATCTTTTCTAACATGCATTGTTGTACACAACAATTGGAAGTATACTCTTTCTAAACATATACTATGATTTACAGCAAGCTGTGTGACTTTGAAAAATTATCTTCCTTCTTTGAGCTTCAGCTTTCCTATTTGTAGAATCAGTAAAACATATTTTTCTAAATTATTTGCAAAACGTTCCAAACTTTACATGCTATGTGAGTAAAAAGAAAAATAATGCAGCAGAAGTGAAAACAGTAAACCAACAGAAGATATTTGTCCTTTTAGTCGACAACAATTTTAAACATCTTATATATTTCAGGCATTTCCTTTACTGATGGGGAAATAAACACAGATATGGAAAAGTGCCTCCAGGGGCTTAAAATATAGTAGGAGGAATGAGTTGTATTTTCAATATGAGAACCTTGTAAGTATCATAGATGCTTTGACAGAAATGTTGACATTTGGGGACAAAATAAAGGAGTGATCAACTTTGCCTGAGGGACTCTAGGAGGCCTTTGTTGAGAAGCAAGGGAGAAAAAAATGTTAAAGAACATGTAAGAATTCATGAAGATACTTATATGGGACAGGGAGTTCTATGCAGAAGGAGGAGAACCACAATACCATTGGTAGACATCGCAATGATTTTGCTGTACTTGGAATGTAGCTTGTGCATATGAACATGCCTGTAAATGTGTGTGTGTGCAGAAGTTAGTAATAGAAAATGCACTCTTTGATCTTTATCTTTCTATCAGTAGGACCAGAAACTGATTTAAGTAAGATGAACATGTTTCTATCTAAACGTCTAAATAGATTTCTTTCATTCCCCCATGAATAAAAAGATTAGTTGGAGGAAAATAACGTGTGAGGCTGGGAAAATAGCCTTTGCAGTGGCAAAAAGGAGTCAGGAAGAGGGCTGTATGGCAAATTCATAGGTGGAGAAAGGAAAATTTTAACCTGAGTTCTGGAAAAATCAGCAACCAGCCTTTGTGCCCTATTTGGCAAGGGGATGTCAATAGGAATGGAAGCGGTGTTAGAAAAATCACAGATTTTTGCTTTAAGAAACTGGAAAGGAGAAAACATGAGTAGGCAGACTTTTGTTGGGAGCAAAGAAAGAACTCAGCTTTAGACAGTGAATTTGAAAAGTCTATGGCATGTGCAGTTAGAATTGTCTACAAGACTAGAAAAATCTGCAGTGGTTACGTTGATTTAGGGCTAAGTTACAGTTGATGAGACTTTAGGGAAACTAGGTAAGGTATTACAAAAGAAGGTGAAGACAAATATTTAGAAAAACAGAAACATAATATAGAAACAACAGCATTCATGTGTTTTTTCTTTAATTAGGTACATTAGCGTGGCTAAAAATAGCATTATTTTAAACTTAAACTGAGGCATGTATGATTGGCTATGTAAAATATTCCAAATTTTATTATCATTTTGTTCTTAAGAGTTATTCAAAAATTAACCACATGATGGTGCTATGCTACCAAATCATGTGAACTCATTTGTCAAGCGTGAAAAAAGAAAAAGAGTTTTACTGATTTACGGGTAAGTATAAAATATATATATGCTCAGTGGGACCAACTGGCACCTTAGCCGATTTGTTAAAAGGCTCTTTGTGAAGAGTAATATCATTTATCTCATACGTTTTTAAGGAAAAAGAAAAATTCTGCTTTGGATTTAATGTGATCACACAGTTATGTTAATTTGAAATAAACTAATATTGCCAAGTAACATCAAAATGGTAAGCACTGTCTCTAATTCCAAAAAAGGTTTACTTTTAAAAAAACTAAATAGGAAATAACTTCACCACTCTTCATTTTAAACAGTTTCTAAGAGAAAGTTTTGTAGAAATGGTAGAGAACTGTTTGAAAAATTATACAGGATATTAAATTATTATTTTGGATAACAAGTATTCACTTAATTATTTTAATTATTTAAATTTTGCAATCACTTTGGAGAAAATTCAAGTGCTTCTATAACCATATTTAGATTTTGAGTCCTTGAAAACTTTTAATTCGTGTAACTCACTATCCATGTTTACATATAAGAAGTATATATTTTATTCCCATTTATTCAGTAGCAAAAAAAACACTAGTGACTAAACACAAATTTCATTTAGGTTTTCACTAAGAATGAAGCCATTGAATTTTAAAACTCTTATTCTGTCATTGTAAATGTAGCTCACCTCTTAATTTCTAGACAATTTGAATTTTTAAAAAACTTTATTCTGATTTTATTAGTGTTTTATTGCTATAACACCCAACACCATATAGGACAAGCTTTTTTTTTTTTTTACAGTTTTCTCAGAGTGGTAGGATGTGAGGGTGGAATAAAAGCAGTTTTTATTTTGTTTTGTTTTGTTTTGTTTTACCAATATCTTATGCCTTGGAGCAATTTATAAAGCTTCATAATGTTCCTCTGAATTCGAAGTGTCACAGTGAAATGGCATTCTGTCACAGTGAAATGGCATTCTGTCACAGGGCTCATAAAGTGAATCAAAGTTAAGGTTAATAAAATAAATAAAAATGCCTTTCTTCAGTCTTCTCAGTTAATCTAAACCTGACCATCATTTTTGTTTTCTCAAGCCCTCCCTCTATACAGGAAATAGACAGAGGAGAAAATAGTGAAAGAAAAGCAAATAAAAGATTTTGAAGATAAAACAGTAATAACAATATGTACTTCAGATCATTAGTATTTTAATGTATTCTTAAGTGCGTTAAAAAAAGAAAAACTCTGAAAACAAAGCATGTCATGCCTCATTCCTCTATTGCAGCTCAAAATCTGTTAGCTAAAAAATTAAAATAACTGGTGTTTAAAAAAGGACTACATATTCAAATGTAGAATATATATTTGGGACTTTCTAAATGCATTTAGTATACTTAAAATGTAATTTCTGTATGAATCTGATTTTATATCAGAATTCTTGTATTGCAATATTGAAGGGAAAACCTTAACAAATAATTTAAGATCATTCTGGATCTGCAACACTACTGTTGATGTTTACATACACAGTTATTGAGATACACCTAATTCTTTAAGGATTCCTAATGATAATTGCAAGATGAAGTTTTCTGAGAACTTATTGAATATATGCTTGAGTATAGTACTATTTTACAGTCTTTACCCAAAAGCATTCTGTACTTAAAAAATTGTTGTAGTGTTTCAATTGATTTTGAATTTTTATGGGCTTTATTCAATGAGATATTTTCTCACATTTTTATTAAGTCATACTATCATGTTTAATTGAGTAATGCATCTATGTACATGTGTGCATATAAACACAATACACGATACAATATATACAATAGATAGGTGGACAGTTTTTAAGTTTCATTACAAAAATGTCCTCCTGAGTTATTTTTTAAAGATTCAATAGATGTAGGGTGCAGGCTACAATGTTCTTTCTAATAGAACACTAGGTTAGCATAGGGGATTGCCTCTAGTGGATCCATATTTAGAGATGAAAGCAAATTACAACACTGAAAGAAAATCCATGTGTTTTATTAGGCTCTGAAGTCTCAAATGCTTGGTGTAATTTACCAGATGATGATAATATTTATACAAATATGTTTTGGCTGTTCCTTTACAATTTATTTAGAATCTCACAATCTCTCACCATCTCTGTTGCTGTACCATCACGTTCCACATTTCTATCTGTTTCCCGGTTTACTTCTATGGTCTCTTAACTGAGCTATTGCTTTCATTATTTCCTAGTTACTGTTCTCTTAAGACAACCAGAGTCACTTGGGTCTACAAGGGTAAGGCGAGGCCAGGTGTGGTGGCTCATGCCTGTAATCCCAGCACTTTGGGAGGCCAAGGCAGGTGGATCACCTGAGGTCAGGAGTTCAAGACCAGCCTGACAAACATGGTGAAACCCCTTCTCTACTAAAAATACAAAAAATTAGCCAGGCATGTTGGCAGGCACCTGTAATCCCAACTACTTGGGAGGCTGAGGCAGGAGAATCGCTTGAACCTGGGAGACAGAGGTTGCAGTGAGCCGAGATCCCTCCATTGCACTCCAGCCTGGGCAACAAGAGCAAAACTCCATATCAAAATAAATAAATAAATAAAAATAAATAAAAGAGTAAAAGTGATCTAGATCTACACTCACATGGGCTCTCTATATCACGATCTGTTAATAATTCAACATCTTTGCCTGGTCTACAAGGCTCTGCCTGGCGAGCCCGTCATCTCTGGCCAAGGCCCTCTTCCTTCACTTCATTCCAGCCCCACTGGCCTTCTTGCCTAGTACACTCCCAATTCAGAGATTTTGAAATTGCTGCTCAAACTTTTAGGAACTCACATCACCCAAATACCACATGGTCAGGTTTTTGCTCATATTCCCTTCTAATACAGAAGTCTTTTTTTATTTTTCACCTCACTGTAAGATACCCTCCACCCTCCACATGCCTTTTACCCCTTCATCCTACTTTAAGTCTTTCTAGCTTGAATTCATCACTGCTGAAAGTGATTTCTAATTTGTTTGTTTATCTCCTGACGTCCTCAGTTGAATGGAAGCTGAGTATGAGTGCAGGCAGTGTGTTTGTTGAGTTCACTGCCCTATCTCCATAGTGGAGTCTGGAAAACAGTGGCTGCTTCCAAAATACCTGTTGAATGAAGTAGTGAAAGTTATGGACATTGAGCTTTACTTAGATAATGAATTTCAGGCCAGTAAAATGGACAACAATGATTCATCCACCACAGGAGAAATGAGTGTGTGTGTGTGTGTGTGTGTGTGTGTGTGTGTGTGTGTGTGTTTTATTTGCAGATATACTTTCAAGATTATCTACCCTATCTAAATCTATTTTAATAAAAGTATTATATAATTTTGCATATCTCAATTTTAATCCAGTTAAGAAGAATAAAAATTCTAAATAAACACAATAAATACAAAAAATAAATAACATGACTCATTCTCTGTAGATGTTTCATAATGAAAAAGGCAGATATGTTCTTATTGCTTTCATGATAGTTGAACTTACATAACTGAATGATTACTTTCAAAGATTAATATGTTTTGATATAATAAGATAAAGGACTATTATTAAACCACGCCTTTTTCAACTGTTTTAAAAATAAATAAGAATGACATACATTTTTCTAGATTGACACCTAGACATTGATTACTTATTGGTATAGGTGGTAAATATGTGTAAATAAAAATGAAAACATAAACATAAAACTATGTGTGTGAATATAAAGTAAGTTACAATAATTAAATATAAATAAGTATATAAACATAAATATATATAAAGTATATCTAGAATTGAATCTTTCGTACCTTAATTTTACTTTGGAAGTATACTTAATTTTATATTTAAATATTATGACTTCTTAATTTAAAATATTTTTTATATTATTAATGATTTTTATTTGTTCCATTTGAATAGATGATTGTAACCCATTTAAATGTGATTTCTTTGTTGGAGACCTTCTTAGGGAAAAAATTAAGTGAGAAGACTTTACATTGATTTGGGACTAAAAGAAAAAGAGAAAAACAAACTAAATAACAATGAAGGAGTAAAGTTGATAAGAATTTGACATATTTTTCTAACTGTACTTTGCAAATTTAACATAAATGCTTAATTTAATAGAGTGGGATCATGTGGGTTAAATTAATTTCTAGACTAAGCGTAATTTTTGCACAATAGTAGAAATAAAAATATGATAATCTATTTGAAAAATGTGTTTCTTTTTAAGAGTATTTTCATTACCATATATATTGCTTCCTTGTTAAAATTCAGAATTCCTGAGCAAATATGGGAGGGGCAGACTGATTAATGGAACTAAATGCAAAGTATTTATTCTGGTTAAAATAATTACAATGAGTAAATGAGTATTGTATACTGCAGTTTGGAGTATATTCTTCAAAATTCTTCAAAATGGAGTGTGTTTTGTAGAAGGGGAGGAAATGGCTGAACTAAATGAGCTTCACTTTTCTGCCTTTACTTTGCTATTGGAAATTCCTATAATTTGCCTCACTATTATGGAAAAAATGTGCACACCTTAAATGCCATTATAATTTTTCTTTCTCACATTAACAGACTCCTTCATGTCACCACCCAACAAAAGACAAAACTACAGACACTGTAAATAATAATTTCTTCCTAATATTTCAACTAACTTTGCCCTCAGCAATCCTCTTTGGCTCTAATCCATATGTCATTACTAAACAGCTTCCCAGCGCAGTCTGTCTTTCTCTCTCTCTCGGTTTCTTGGTAATTCTTTTTCACTTTCTTCCTTAAAGCTCTCTCACGTCCATTACTGGCCTTTCACATTTCTTCTAGTTCTCAGGTGTTTAGAGCTTACACGCATCAGTATGCTTCCACTGTGATATCAACCAACATTGTGGTGAATTAGATATTTATATCTTCAGAAGAACCATAAAAAGGCTCAATATCAAGACTGATGGGGTTAGAGTTACTTCTCAATCTTGTTTTTAAATTAATCTTTTGTCTATATTTATAGCAATAAAAAATTAGGTTACAATTAAACTCTGTAAGAATCTTTTTTAAATGATGTCATCAAATTATCAGGCCTAATTGTTCAACATAAAATATATAATAGTTGAATCACAGAATAATAGCACCTATAGAAGTAAATACTCAGCATCACTAGGTCTTTTTTGTTTTCAATTTAAAATACAGTTGACTCCTGAGCAACATGGGTTTGGACTGTGCAGGGCCACTTATATGTGGATTTTCCTCTGCCTCTGCCATCCCTGACACAGCAATACCAGCCCCTCCTCTTCCTCCTTCTCCTCAGCCTACTCAATGTGAAGATGATGAGGATGAAGACCTTTATGATGATCCACTAGTGCTTAACAAATAGTAAATACATTTCCTTTTGCTTATGATTTTCTTAATAACATTTTCTCCTCTCTAGCTTACTTTATTGTAAGAATACAGTATATACGGCTGGGTGTGGTGGCTTACGCCTATAACCCCAGCACTTTGGGAGGCCGAGGCAGGTGGATCACGAGGTCAGGAGTTTGAGACCAGCCTGACCAACATGGTGAAATCCCTTCTCTACTAAAAATACAAAAACTAGCCGGGCGTGGTGGTGCACATCTGTAATCCCAGCTACTCAGGAGTTTGAGGCAGGAGAATCCCTTGAAACTGGGATGCAGAGTTTGCAGTGAGCTGACATCTCACCACTGCACTCCAGCCTGGGTAACAGAGTGCAACTCCATCTCAAAAAAAAAAAAAAAAAAAAAAAAAAAAAGAATAGAGTATATACTATATATAAGATACAAACTATGTGTCAAATGTTTATGTGATTGGTAAAGCTTCTGGTCAAGAGTAAGCTATTAGTACGGAAATTTTGTAAGATCCAAAAGATACATGCAGATTTTTGACGGCACGGAGTATCAGTACCCCAACTCTCACATGGTTCAAGGGTCAACTCTATTGCTAATTGAAGGAAAATTAAAATTACTTGTCATTTTCAATATTTATTTTTTATCTTCTTTAATTATTATTTAGTAGTCAACTGTCCCAACATTTGTCTATATACCTTTTTCAATTTGATGACTCCCTCTTGTGTATCCTCATCTGTGACGATGTCAAACAAATTTCCCCCATCTCCTGGAACAATATTGTATTCAATTTCTGCATTTTGTCCAAAATCAGGATCCACAGCTCTTATTCTTCCAATAGCTGAACCAATAGGGGAAGACTCAGGAACTTTCAAGTGGAAGATGCCTGATAAGACATATAAAATTTGAATTGACAGTGGGGTTAGTAAGAGATATAGTAAGATTACAAGGCTTGAAAAATAGAGTCCACTGAAAGTAAATCACATTTAGAACATTATAGTGCAAATTGAAAAGGCAATTTGCTGTCAAGTTAAGGATTATGATTAGGAGTAATAACTTCACTTTTCTCTTCAATATGTGCTGCTCTAGAATTTTAACTGGGCATTATAAATAGTAGAGAATGCTAAAGTAAAATTATTAGCAGGACTTGTTTTACACACTTATATGGCATAAAAGTGTACCACATATCAAATGGGAGGGTGGGACTATTCATGAAATTAATTGGTACTAATAATACAGGTTGCAAGACATAGATAAAAAGTTATAGATACATAGATAGATGATAGATAGATGATAGATAGATAGATAGGTGATAGATATATAGATATAGAAAGTTGAGGTTATATTTCCTAAAACTAATGACTTCAATAAGTATACATCATTAAACTAAAAATAACCTGTAAAATAATTTGTATAATCAAAATTCTAGTCGATGATAGATTGAAATATAGTATATTATAGACTAAGATTCAGCTTATATTTAGTGAATTTTAACTTGTCACCTTTCTATATACTTTTACTGATATTTTAAATCATAAAGTTCTGTCTCCCGAAGTTTTTTAATAGCATTAAGAAAGAAAAAAAAGTAAAATGCTTATTTTTACCACCAGGTGGAGCGTTTATATTACTATGAAATTTATACTGAATCAGCAAAACTTAGATAAAACATTTCAGAATCATGGAAAATTGTAATACTCTACAAAAAAATAAAAACATAGACATTATTTTAAGGTTTTGTAGAATTTTTCAAAGTTTGACACACAAGAAAGATATAGTGCATGCTCTTTTACTGACATTTCATTAAAGCAAATATTAATGAGTTTAACAACAGTCTGTTCAAATTCAAATGAGGAAAGGAAATGAGAGAAAATAAAAATTAAGAAACAAAACTAAACACCAAAATCTAAAGTTTCCATTTTGATACTGGAGTTCCACTTTCAGTTTCTCTTACCGGATTTAGAATGGCTCTTTCCCATGGGTAAATCAACCATGGTGATTCATTCGTTTTAGAATTTTAGTTACACATTTGTGGAAAATAAATTAAGAAGTTACTATAAATGTCTGTTGCATAGGGAAGTTCATTAAAAAATCATGTTACAATATTACAGTTATTTTCTCCAAGAAGGTGTGAGAAAAAAATCAATCACATCTTGTAGAGATTCTGCCAGATATTTTCTTTTTGATTTCCCATTATTTTTTGAGGTCCTGTAGTTCTTTCACAATCAGTTTCAAAACTTGGTAATTTCATTAGCATGGGAAGCAGTTAAATCTCCCTTCTTCCCTCCTTCCCCCAGAAAATGGTATCTACCATTTATCTTGAATATGCAGATCAGCCGTATTTAAATCCAACATATTATCTCCATGGAACATATATGTGATTTGGTCTCAAGAGAGCTAAATACTCAACTAAAGTTTGTTTATTTTACATATAAGACAAAATGATACTTTACAGTGGTCCACAAGAGTTATATTTAAATAATTAGCTTAGTTAATTCATACTTTCAAAGAGGGTATGAGGAATCTTTCTCAAAAATGCACTTAAAAGTTTAAATAAATAAAAAAATAAACATTATAGACCTAACAACAACAACAAAAAACTCCTTCCAAGTCACAATGCTAAAATGTTACATAGATATTATGAAGGAATCTCAGTTAAGGAAAGTCACATTAATTGATCAAAGTAGTAATTTCTCATAGGGTAGGATTATTGTTTTATTTTTATTTCCTAAGCACTTAACATAGTAGCTGTCATTTAGGGATGCTTAATGTTTGCTGAACTTAAAGCAGTGATTGAATTTGAGGCAATCAAATCAAAGAAGAAAAACAAAAGAATGGGTTACATTGCATTCCTATTTTCTACCAGAAGGATAAAGCCAGATATTCAGGAGGAATCTATCTGATTTCAAATAGCCTTAATTACATAAGCAGAATCTATCATGGCTTTTGGAACTACTTTCTTTAGATCATAAATATTTCTTAATAGATAAATTAAACCATGATCCTAGTGAGGCACTCCTGAGATATTAGGAAATATAAGGGTCCCTGAACTTCTGTTTAATGAGGCAAGAAAGCATGTGACAAAGTTATTACAGTTGTACTAAACTTAAGGACAAATTCCAAAGAAAAAGGACAAGGCACAGAACGTGTAATTTTTCATTTTCCTTTTTTTCTTCTAAAATGCCCGTTAAATGGAAATACGATTTATCAGAAACTGTGTTTGTATCTTTTGCCTCTTGTTGTGTGACTGTGATGAAGTATCTGAGGAACATCAAAAGCTTTGAATTCACGGTACGATTGGTCATAGTCCAAACTCGTGGCTCATAAATGAGTGTTAGAAAAAGTCTAAATTTTTTTTCTAATAAAAGAGAGAAATGGAAGTCGATGTTGAATAGTGTACTAGAAATCCTTCTTGATTAGGACATTTAGTAGGAAACTTAGGGGTAAACATTATCAAGGAAATAACTGAACAAGTGTTCAGAGAGACAGAGAGCCGTCAAGTATAGTGGATTTCAAACTTCAAATGTGGCCAGCAGTGGGAGTGGTAAGGGTGAAACAGTGAGAGTCATAAGGAGCGGAGTAGTATGAGAAATTTAGGAACACATGTGCATCTCACTTAAAGAGCTGGGGACATTTCTGTTTATTCCATCCAATCCATTCAATGAGAGCCAGTTGAAGTTACATATTAGGTTTATGAGTTAGCTTTACATTTACATTTGGATGGTTAAAAGCAAAAGTAAAGGAAATTACACATCGATGAAAATGATAGAGCCTGGAGTCCTCTCTAATGGATTATGGTTAGTGAAGGTGAAGAGTTTAGCCAGAGTTGAGATCCTCCAATATGGGGGAAAAAAAATTAAAGCATTGAAAGGTAATCCAAAGGGCATCAGATAATTCAAACTGCAGATGAAAGAGCCCCCTTTCCAAGACAATAATATGCTGAGATACGAACTTTATGTTCTATAAAAGAACATTTTATGGGGCTAGTCACAATAAATGTAAAGAAAGCTATTCTTTGTAGTATTCTATCAATTTAAGTTAAATAGGGTGTTTTGTTTTAAGTTGTCAGCATAGAGAGTGCCAACAAATTCCATTTTTATCTAATGGCATTGAAAAATTGTGATAAATTGAAATAATAGCATTGTCCAATAATGATTGATTTACTAGCATTCCACTAACATGCACCCCTTCAAAATTAAGATAAAAGTAAAGCAATGATTACTTTTTGTGTGTGTTAAGTTTTAGTGCATGTGAAATGCAAATATACAGAGCAATAGATTTTCTACTCTTTACACAGCAGACATACATTTTAGTAAGGTGGAAGACACGTTCATTAAGATAAGTGTTTCTTAATAAAATATTACAGCTGGTAATAAAGTCTGCAGAATATGGAACAAGTCAGAGAAACTATGCATTTGTCATGTCAGATTGTTTAGGTTCTGTCGGTTTATTTCCAATGACTTGACATTTTATCATGTCTGGAATCTCAACAGCAATAAAGCTGAGGTCATTCAGATTAATTCAAAACTGTGAAGTAATCTTCAGCTATGCCAAAGTTGGATTGTTCATGATGTACTGTGTAATTACACCGCCACCGTCTTCCAGGCGTCCTACTTTTGATGCATATGAAACATCTTAATGGCACTACCTGTACCACACAAATTGAGAAATAAAACAGGTGACAAGAGATTGTCCACAGTCAATAAAAATATATATTTACAATTCATCAAATATACCTATTGTGCTTAGCCAAAATCTTCATTTTCCCATAGAAAAGGAGGAAATTGCATGCAGTGAACTAATTATAATGATCATATTCTTAAATATAATATTCCCTGTTAGTTCCAAGAGTAGAAAAAAATCAGGTAGTTATAAGCTAAGTATCCTCTCAGTAACTATGTCATTTGAAAAGATACTGATTAGGACTTAAACTGTGTGTCGGGCGGGGAGAGTGGGGACAGGTAGGGGACATGCATTGCTACTTTAAAAAAAAAGGATGTAAAATATATTTACCTTCCTTTTTTTGTTTATTGCAGGAAATTTCCAGATACTGATGAAAACACCAAAATAAATATATTTACTTGACAAAATATAAATGAAGATCTTTACTTAAAAATAAAGATTATAGGACCTGAACAAATATATTAAGTGAATGAATGACTTTAAAAATACCACAACATTCAATGACACCAATAGCAAGTTAAAAAGAAGATAAAATAATCCATTACAAACTCACTTTTGAAATACATTTTATTTTATCTTTATGTAACAATAATTCTAAAGTTACTTAAAAAAAAGGAAGTCAATGTTTAACTGCAAATAAGTTACCTAAATACAAGTAACTAATGTGAATATAATTCATATTTAATAATACAAGAACACTAGAAATATTGGAGGGCTTAAGAACAAATTATTTCAAATTGATGAAAATGTTAAACATTTTTAAAAACTCAAAAACATACACTTGATTCCAACTAAATAGACTATGATTTGAAATATTACATTTCAATTTAAACTTCAAAAAATAAATATAGCACTGAACTATTGATTCAGTAATTGAATTCAAACATTAGATTGTTCAAATGATCCTGCATACTTTTTGTGTGTGTGAGTGATTTACCTTCTAATGGCTTAGAAATAAAATTTTGTTGTATCAATATTTTATTTTTTTAAATTTCTTAAATATGTATCACACAAAATTATTTCACCTTACTTAAACAACACGAAAAGGAAATACAAGTAAACAACATATTGTGTGAGTAAAAAGAAACTTTATAGAAATTGTGTACCTGTAGCTCTGTGACCCTGGGCAAAATATTTTAAACATCCCTCTTTTCCTGATCGTTTAAAATATCTCTCTTTTCCTGATCTGTAAAATTAGTATAACAATATCTACTTTATAGATTTGTTTTTGAAAGTCACTTATACAAAAGTGCATGAAACTCATTCAGTATTATTTATTACTAGTTAACTTTTATAATATTTGTATATTATAATATTTGTATATAATATTTGTATAGTCTATATGTATTATAATTTTTCCTATCAGAATGGCAATAGCCAATAGGAAACTGTCTATAGAGGTGTGGAGATGAAAGAAAGACAGATCTTAAAAGAGTTCTAAAAAGTCGTTTTAATTTTAATTAAAATATTTTCCCATATCTTTAAAATTGGAGGATTCAGGAAGAAAAAAAATGTTTTGGTGGTGGAAGAACATTTTATGCCCTCTATTTCCTTAAAAGCCTGAGGCTGTATTTTCAATATGCCCAAATTAAAGTAATAGAAATGTTGTCCATAAGAAAGAACTATCCTGATAACAAAGCTGGGTTCAAGCTGGATTTTAGTCAAGCATACTAAACATACAGTGAATGGAATCTCTCAGTAATAACAGAAACATCCACTGCTGCTCATTCCCAGGATGAGGCTAGGATGGGCATAGTTTTTAAGTGTCAAGTATTTGGCACTAGAGCTTCACTTTATTGGTTAAATTACTTCGCTTTTGAGATGTTATATTTGCCCATTCTCGATTTTAACTAACCATATACATGAATAAGAATTGCC
Organism: Homo sapiens; assembly: GCF_000001405.40. Classification (NCBI taxonomy): domain Eukaryota; kingdom Metazoa; phylum Chordata; class Mammalia; order Primates; family Hominidae; genus Homo; species Homo sapiens. Next base: position 21,822,805 of record NC_000005.10, read on the forward strand.
ATGCACACAATATCCGTCATATTAATGAATTAAGATTTATAAATTTTCTGTAACAATAGCAATATTTCTTGTCTCTGAACAATGAGAAATTTATTCCTGTAAACTTTTTTCTAGTTCTGAGCAGCTAAACGCAATAGAAAAATTTAAGGCTCGATATTAAATTGTCTT